>NC_000011.10:103233030-103536060 GCF_000001405.40 Homo sapiens
TAGTGGTTATTTGTCCATATTGGACAAATTGGTTCTAGAGTCTTATGTCTAGGGAAAGAAGGAAGAAGGCACTTAGAAAGACAATGAAATATACTGTAAAGTACATGCAACTTAATGCCAGTCACATCTGTATATGAATTTTAGATCCTCTGCTGATTATTGATGAGAACCTGAGAAATAATTTATTTGGGTTTAAGTTTACATATGTATAGCATAAGATTTATAATACTTAACTGGAACTGTTCTGGAGAATTAAATGCTGGTTTTTTTTTTTTTGATGCTTGGCACCACCCTGGGCATATTATAAACACTTACACATATTTGTTGAATGACTAAATAATCATGTCAAATATTACTATTACATTTAATAAAATCACACACATATTTTTCAAGGAAAATAATTTAAAAAGAAAATCATAAAGATCAATGAATATAGGGAGAGATTATATATAATGTACTAAAATGAATTTTGAAATTTTATTTGTATTTTTAGTGGTAGATGTTAGAGGGGGTTGGGCTGTGGGGTGAGGAAGGGTGTGGTTGGAAGATACTCTAGGCAAATGGAACATTCTGAAGAACACTGGAGATGAAGGATAGGATATTTACTGATAATGTAAAATTCTTCCGATATTGACATATATTAATGGTTTTGCTGATCAGTAATATAATGAAATAAAACTAGAAAGACAGATGGGATGTTTAGGACAGTGCCTTGAATGCCGTATTGGCAAATTTTTATATAATGCAGTACAGCACGGAGGCCCTGTCAAGTTTTTTGAGGTAGAGAATGCTACACTTTATGTGTGTGTGTGTGTGTGTGTGTGTGTGTGTGTGTGTGTGTGTGTGTGGGTTTGTCTCTTCTATTAATGATACTTTGTATGCAAACATTAATAGTATTATCATTAAATTATGGCATAAAAGTTTACTTTATTACCTATGGATAATTTCATTAAATCTCTCCCAAATCCTTTTTGCTTTTAATTAAATTTTAATGTTTACATAGATTTCAGAGCAGGACTTCAGAAGCTGCCAAACTTGAGGCTGAAGTAAGCAAGGCACAAGAAACAATCAAAGCTGCAGAAGTCTTAATTAATCAGCTTGACAGAGAACATAAGAGATGGAATGCACAGGTTTGTTTGAGAGAGGGGCCATGAGGAGTCTACCTTTAAACTGCAGGAAATCTATAATGTAATGTATGTTAAGAAAAAGGAGAGAAAGATCCATTAATTTGCACCTGGCTCAGGATAAATAATCTGGATATAAATGGCCATTATGTGAATTACTCTTTAAACAAAGCGTCTTTATATGAATAGATTTTTAGGCAAAGCAGCCTATTTTCCTTTCAGTTCCGTATGTTATGAGAGATGAGCAGGATGAAAATGGGTGGATGGAAAACTTAGTACTCCTTAGAATTTTCTTTGAATTTACCTTCACCAGGACAGTAATTTTAGGATTTGACACTGTTGGCTATTTATTTTTTCTTGAAATATTTTATTATTTTGACTTTTTAGTGTTGTCTCTTGTTTTTTCTTGGTTTATTTCTGAAATCAGTTAAGCTTCCTTTCCTTTCCTGATCCTCCTCATCTGCTCATCCAGTAATGTTGATTGTCCTTGTTATTCTCTTCCACAGCAGCTTTTTCTGCAACTGCCTTGGGGGTTATCTCATCCCTTCATAATATCACCTACACCTTCATAATGACCAGAGCTACATTTCCAGACTACTGAGTTTTAAATGTGTATTTCCAACTATACATTAGACATTTGCATTTAATTGTCTCTGAGGAACTCAAACCCAACATGTCTAAATTATTTTCTTTTTCTTATTCCAAGTCTCCTTTATTTTCTGTTTCACTGGAGGCATCTTTCTTTGGGCATCAATACTAAAAACATGTGGGTTGTCTTAGACTCTTCCCTGTTTACTTGTCATATCAATTTGCAAATATTCTTTATATTTGTCTTCTATCTTTAATGCCAATTTCTTTTCATTTCTCATCTGACTTTTTTAATGTATCCTCCTATCTGACCCTTTAATTAGTTCACCCTTCATTTGTCAGCTGAATTATCTTTATAAAACCCAATCTGATTACATTACTCATTGCTTGCTTAAATGCTTTCAATGGCTCACGTCACAGTTTAAAATAGAAATTCCTTTGCATGTCGTGGAAAACCTTTCACAATCTGCCTTTAATTAGCTCTATCTCTCTTCTTTCCTTTAATATAACTACTCTTTCTGCTGAATCTTGTGCTTTATTTACAATAACCTTTTTGCTAATGGGTCTTCATGCTGTAGCTTTGTTTTGTCCCTTTGTTCATTCTCTGTGTCTTAATCTTAGTTTACAAAGTGGTGCAAACTCACATTTAACTGTGATTGGGATGAAAATTCTGCTTTCTTTAAAATCGTTAAGAACTTTCAATGACTAAATATGTTTGTTTCTACAAATATATTAGGATTTTATACTTTTAAAAAATATCACAGCAGAGTCTGAGATCTTTTTGATATTTTTACATTTTGACTGTTACATTCAAAACAAGTTATTACCTGTGATTTTCCCCCTCACAGTCAAAACCATAAAACTGTCATTTTCTTTAATGTTAGAACATACTCATATATCTCCCTCTTTCTTCTCTCTCTTTTTTCCAGGTTGTAGAGATAACAGAGGAATTAGCTACTCTTCCTAAAAGAGCTCAACTTGCTGCTGCATTTATTACATATCTTTCTGCTGCTCCTGAATCTCTGAGAAAAACCTGTTTGGAAGAATGGACCAAGTCAGCTGGTCTTGAGAGTTTGTATTTAGTTATTCCTGATCTTGAGAGTTTGTATTTAGTTATTCCTGAATTTAAAATTTCAATATACTAAAAATAGACCCTTTATTCTCTGTTATTTTACCTTTTTTAAATGGGGGAAATTTTATATGGGTTCCAAGGATACCCTAGCTACTTTAGATTTGCTGAATTCCACAAATGTTCTTGAATTTGCTTTATTAATATGATTTTTCTATTCTTAAATCACTGTAAAAAACTGAGATGACTGAATTATTTTTGATATTGCATAGATGCAATTAAACATTATGTTACTTTTATTTTTATAATAATTTTATTTCATAGGCTGAGATGCAAGAACTTTAAAATTCTTTGTGATGTTAGTGGTATTTTACAAAATTATTTTAGTTTGTGAAACAGTCACTCAAAGAAATAGGACTTCGTGGAGTTCCATTCCTTTGCACTTTTTGTTTTTGTTTTAGACTTTTTTCTCCGTGGGTTTGGGTGTTAAATGTGGAAGAATGGGTTTCAAGTAAGGACTGTCATAGGACTTTTGTTTCGGAATAAATAGCTTTATTTCCTTCCCTTCATCAAGTACAAGATCGTTGTGAAGTATTATCAATATCTTCAACTTTTCAGAATTTGATCTGAGGAGATTTCTTTGTACTGAAAGTGAGCAGTTAATTTGGAAAAGTGAAGGCCTACCATCAGATGACCTTTCCATAGAAAATGCTCTTGTAATATTACAGGTAGTTAATTTATTTTAATTTTTTTATTAGAAATGTTTTATTGTCAAGCTTGCTGTAGAAATTGTGTTCTTCGTATTCTTAGTCTTTCACAGTTACCCTTTTCTTACTAAAATAAAAATATTTTGCTAATGAAAACCCATCAATGATTCAGTTAGTGAGTGTAAGACTTTCTGTATAATTTATTTTTTACCTTAATATAAAAGTATAAAGTGGCATTCTTTTGATGGCAAAATATTCTAAATTGTATTTCCTAATAGTAATAGAAATATTTTAGGGATACCCAATTCATTGGTTATATAGTTTCTTCATGAGTACAGACTAGAATATATGACTTCATAAATTTTATGTTTTTATTTCATTTTATTTTGCCAAACAAAATTAGCAAAAAGTGAAGATAAGTTTTGGCTTATCAATTAGAGATAATCATACACATAATTTGGAAATTTGTTTTGTCACATAGTGCACATTTTCCAAAGCTATTTAAAATGGAAAATAGCATAACCTTATTATCAGTGAGTGTGAAAACCAAATTCAAAGCCATGTACACAAATAAATAATCACTTGAATAAAGTTTGATTTTTCCCATTAACTTGGTTTACTTTTCTTGATATGGAAATTGGAAGATGATTTTTACTTCTTGATAATGTGATTTTTCTATTCTTTCTGTCAATAGTTTATATTTCATAATAAATATTAGTATTCCTTTTCCTCTCAGTAATCCTTCTCTCTGCCTACACACTATTTCCTTATTCTTATTTTTTAACTCCATAGTCTCAAAGAAAGCATGAACATTAAACATGCTCCTCTTTATGTAGCATAAACTGTATTATAAGATTTATATTTTAGGTGCTGTTCATTACTTGATAATTTGTTCTGTTTTATTAGACCTATTAATCAGCTGACTATGCTTCAGCTCACTGTATTGGTAACTTACCGGTAGAGAAGTTGCTGACCACTAATTGAATAGTTTTGCTTTCTATTAATTTGATTTTGCCTGTTTTTAAATTTACTTTTAAAATTTTTTTTATTATTTTCACAATGGAATCACAAATATGAAACTCTAAATGCTTATGTAAATAAATGTATTACATTATAGCAAACTATATGCTTTTTATTATATTTGTTATTCCCTCCCTAAGGTTTCATAGCCACATCTTTTTCCTGTTTCAATAATCCAAGAAAGCAATTGATTGCAAATTAAAAAAAAAAGGTTTAAGAATTCTTTTTTATTCCATAAGAAACAAGGGGAGGGTGGTAAGTCTGTAGACAAAATATGTTTATCAGAATAATTTTTTTACCAATGTTAATTGAAAATGCTTAGTTTTGTATTCTGAATTGTCTTTCATGATGGATATGGGAAATTGCCTTTGAAATTAATAAGCTTAAATTTACTTTGTATTTAACATTGCTAAGTTCCTTTTAGATAATTACTTGCATTTATATGACAAAACAAAAATCATTGGAAACATTTCTTAGGGTAATTAGTTATTTCGTTGAAATGAATTTGCTGTTATGGTCGACACTCCATCTCAGTTTTAAGGTGTACTAGATTTAAAATTAGTTGTAGTTTAAGGGTGTGATTGGATAGCACGTAATCTGTAACATCAACTCATTAACATCACCATGTACGTAAAATTAAATCTGTAAATATATATTAGTTGGGCTTCTGGGAAAAGATGGCTAGACATGATAAATAATATGCATTTGTGATTCAGAGATATAATCTCCTCATTAACTATGCTAAAGCTGGCCTGGTGTAGTGGCTCATGCTTGTAATCCCAGCACTTTGGGAGGCAAGGCGGGTGGATCACTTGAGGTCAGAAGTTTGAGACCAGCCTGACCAACATGGTGACACCCTGTCTCTACTAGAAATATAAAAATTAGCTGGGCATTTTGTCATGCACCTGTAACTCCAGCTACTCAGGAGGCTGAGACAGGAGAATTGCTTGAAACTGGGAGGCAGAAGTTGTAGTGAGCCGAGATCACACCACCGCATACTCCAGCCTGGGTGACAGAGTGAAACTTCTCAAAACACACACACATACACACACACACACACACACACCCCAATGCTAAAGCTTTTCTGAGGTTCTCCCTCTCAGCGGAGGAGGCTTTGCTAAGAAAGGCTTTTGTGTCTAAAACTATTCTTTTATTGGTCTTACAAAGATGCTTAAAATTCTCATATTTAGGTTAAGCTAACTATTGAAGTGCATGTATTGCCGCAGAGAGTAATTAGTCAAATCCTTACATACCCTTGGTCTTACAACAGGAATTAGTTTTACTACGTTAGCAGAAAGCTCATGTGACCTATGTATTTGAGAGACAGGGAAAAATTTGGCCATAGTGATCATATGTCCTGGATTGCTTGGTCTATGGTTTGCACTTGTTGTCCTGATACAATTATTAATAGTTTTCCTTTCACTCTCAACAGTGTCCTGGTTTGGGTGATAAATTATATGATCTAATATTGGTCAACTCAGTGGATAATGGAAAGTATAATAAGGCTGTTAGAAACTATGGAGAAGGTGTGAGTGAAAAGCATCAAGAAAGGAAGTGGAGAAGATGACTAATTAAAATATCAGATTTTATATGGGTTTTTCTTGTGATGACATCTATTGAATATTTGTGTTTTATTGTTATAGACAGTTCAGTGTCAAATTGGTTTTAACCACTCAAAATTTCATAGATTTTTTTTTCTTGCTGCCTTTTGGTATATGCTGAGGAAATGCAAACTAATGTGATACTAGTCTAAGAATATAAAATTATAATGGTAAATTTACAACTTTAAAGTTAACTTCTCCACATAGGAAAAAGTTTTTCAATCCTTACATAAGTAATAACAATAATCAATACTTGCGTATTACTTACCATGTTGTGCATATATTACTGTTTAAGAATAAATAGGTAAGGCACTTAAACACATAACTCATGTAATTCTCAAATCAACCCAATCTGTTAGATTCATGTGTTATCCCTTTTATAGATAAGGACATTGAGGCACAGAAGAGTTAATTCACTTGTCTAAGGTCACATGGCTATCAAGTGGTAGAGCCAGGATTCAAACCCAGGCCACCTAGCTCCTGTCTATACACTTCTCATAGGAGTGTGTGTGTGTGTGTGTGTGTGTGTGTGTGTGTGTAACCTTATTTATTTTATATTCTTGTTAATGTAACTCTCCTTAGTGAATCAAGAGTTAGGCTTTAGTTTTATTTATAAAATGTTTTTGCATTTGTCCCATTTATAAGTATTGAAAATAGACATAACATTATAGGGTGTACTAGGTGTTTTAAAAATTATCTCTTTCAAAAATATCCTTTGACCAATCTTTTTTTCCCCCAAGGAGAGAAGAATTTAAATAGAGATTATGTATCTTTAGTTTTTAACCTGTTTTTTGAACTCTTGACCTACAGTTCTAACTACCTGTTAGATATTTTTACCCATTCTTTCTAGGCAGCTCAAAATTTATCAGCCTTTAACTAAATTCACCATTTTTTAAGTCAAAAATCCTCCAGTGGCCAGTTATAGCACATTTAAGGGAAAAAACTAGCAATTTATGCTTTTAAATAGCTGAGATGTCTAAAAGGTTGGGGCAAGCTTCTGAATTAAAATAATTTTTACCAGGAGATCTCTGCCTCCATTTTATAAGATGGATTCATTCTCAGATGGGTTCTCTTTACCCTTTGTTAACCTTGTCCATTGGTGACTCCATGTTTACCATTATTAGAGTTTATGTTTCCAGACTGAAGATGTGTCATTCACTCCCTCTGCACCATAGATAATATGCCAGTCTCCCAAAAGGATTCGGATTGGTTAGCTTAGATCATCTAATCATATTGATAACCCATCAGAAATACATTTAGTGGGATATGCAGGGTAGGCAAGGTAGCTCTCTAGTATAGAACTCATTTTTCTTCCTCTCTCACTGCCTATAACCTGCTTCTCTTATTTTCTACCACCAGAGATATCACAGTCTTTTCTCAGTAATGCAAGCTACAACCCTGAACGTCATTCTTACTATGTCTCTTTACTTTTTTATTCAGTTATTCAACTAATCTTCTCAAATCTATTTCTCAAATATCTCATGAATTCATCCTGTTTTAATCACTTCCATTGCCAGTGGCTTCATTTATGCCTTCATCATTTTGTATGTGGATAAATATATCATTATACCAGCTGGTTCCTTGTCTCCAGTACCACTTCCTTTACTGTTGTTGGAGTGATTTTTCTAAAACATTAATCCGATCATAATATTGCCTCAATTAATATATTTTAGTGATTTCCCATTGTCTGCAGTATAAAAATTTCATTATCCTTAGACATGGCATAAAAAGCTGATCATGATCAGACAGACTCCAGGTTACTCCTGCCATTTTATATGCATCACCTTTTCCCATATTTATTTTTCTTTAGCTACACCGGAGTACTGTAAGTTTTCCAAATACTCCAAACCTTTTTATTCCCCTCTATATCATGCTGTTGTTTTTGCCTGAAATGTTTTTCTTTCTTCACTTCTTTGCCTAGCTGATCTCTCTTGTCTTAGTTTGACTTGAACTGTTTTCTAGCCATAACTTCACCTATCATCCTTCAGTAGCAACTTGTGCACCTCTTGATGATGAAATTTTTATTTTTGCATCTTTATTGCCTGTAAAGTTATTGAGGTTAAGGGAATGTATTTTCTTAATTTCTGTACTCCTTGTACTATCTTACTATAGTTGTTATCCAACATATAGTAGATGAAGTAACGAACAAATGAGTAAATAAATGAAAGCTCAACATTTTTGGATTGAGTATAGTTGTAGAATTTAACTATATTTAATCATGGAATACAGAGATAAAATGTACCATAGAAATCTTATCTAAATCTGTCTGGAGACGTAAAATAAGATGACAACAAACTTTTAAGTACCCTTTGAAAAACTTAAGCATGTTTTCTTTGCTAAAAACATTTTGAAATGTTACCTTTCTTCTTTTCATTTAACTGCATCAGATCATTGGTTTGAAATCATGGGTAAGAACTTTTTAAAAATTTAAAATAATTACTTTTGTAGTTAGGCAAAATGCAGAATTGTGAAATGTGTGCTATTGAATGCTAGCATAAAATTAGATCAAAAACCTAGGTGCAGCACCATGGTAACACTTCACAGGCTATTTACTAACCACATCATTGTGCTTCGAGTAGTACATTTACGTGATGGAGCAGTAAGTGAAATCTCTAGAAATAGATGCTGGGTGATGCTCATACAGTGTAACGTGGCAGGAGGTATGATGGGAGTAGTCTACTGTGGGTGCAAGTGAAAACAAGGTACCTTGTCTGTGGACCATTTTAAAATAATAATAATAAAGCTGTTTTAAAGTCGTTCTTCTCTTTAATATCACCGTGTGCTAGCAATTGTAAACAGCATTGGTGATATAAAACTATTCGTCCACAGGGCAGATAATTCCCACTATCTCCCTCCCTCTTGGTGTGCCACTGAGATAACCTGTATGTTCTTATTAGATATACAGTGTTCCCCCCTTTTCTCCTGGGCATGTGTTCCAAGACCCTCAGTGGATGCCTGAAAGTTCAGGTAGTACTGAACCCCATATTTATATATGGGGTTATACATTTTTATATAACACATACATACTATTTTATATACACATACATACTATGATATACATACATGCATATATATACATACAATGTTTTTTCTAAACATACATACTATAATAAAGTTCAATGTATAAGTTACACACAGTAAGAGATTAACAACAACAATAATAAAATAGAACAACTATAACAGTATACTGTAATAAAAGTTAAGTGAATGTAGTTTTTCTTTCTGCCTGTCAGAATATCTTATTATACTGTACTCACCTATTTTTGGACTGTGGTTGACCATGGGTAACTGAAACCATGAAAATAAATTGTTGATAAGGGGGACTGCTGTACCCCATTCTAAGTTTTCATCTTACTCTGACTTTCATATGTGTTCTCTTATTCTTATAGCACACAATTGCATTACATTTTTCAAATAAATGTGAAAACTTAAGAAAAATTAGATCAGTTTAAATTTTAGTAGGTAGCAATGATTGTTAAATGACTTTTAAATTTATCATACATATGATATACATTTTATACATTTATAATTGGCTTTCTTCTGTCTACTAAGTGCCATTGTGTGTGGAGGGCATTTTCACTGGTTTCTAACTCCCTTTTTTTTTGAGATGGAGTCTCTGTCGCCAGGCTAGAGTGCAGTGGCGTGATCTTGGCTCACTGCAGCCTCTGCCTCCAGGGTTCAAGCGATTCTTCTGCCTCAGCCTCCCAAGTAGCTGGGACTACAAGCGCCCGCCACCACGCCTGGCTAATTTTTGTATTTTTGGTAGAGACGGGGTTTCACCATGTTGGCTGGGATGGTCTTGATCTCTTGACTTCATGATCTATCCACCTCAGCCTCCCAAAGCCACCACACCGGGCCTGACTTCCTTTTTTTTAGAATTTAATTAGTGCAGGATGTTCTATAATGAATTTAGTTTTTAGTTCATTTCATTAGATCTTAACCTACAGCCCATGTAATTTTCTCTTCCAGGATACTCCTTTAGTAATATTGGATATATACTGCTTTAGAAGAATTAATGTCTTAAAATGTGAACAATTATATTGATAATTAGCAGTGTTTTAATGATTTGCTCATACTTCTTTTTATGGCCTTTATAGTTTTTATTCAAACAAAGAATATAGATAGATAGATAGATAGATAGATAGATAGATAGATAGATAGATAGATAAATAGAGAATAATTTGACTGTGTATTATAAAAGCCAAAAAGAATGCTGCAAATGACATCAGCTTGAGACTAAAGCTCTTGCTTAGCATAATGTTAGTACAGATATTCTGTGTTATTTTGTGTTAAGTAGGACTGTACTCTCTATACTCTGGCTAAATGTAATTACCTAATATTAACTCCTGGTCACTGAAGATTTGTTAATATGGCTTGTGATGCAGCTAAAAACTGTATTTTTGTTTCTTTTTCATGGTTGTATATTTGTGTTCTCCAAAGCTTGAGAGAAAAGATCATTTAGTAATTGATTTATAATTTCTAGAAAACTATTTCCATTTAAATGAAAGCTTATAATCATTAAAAAACATTACTTTTCCTTTTTTTTATACTAGAGTCGAGTGTGCCCATTTCTTATAGATCCTTCTTCCCAAGCTACAGAGTGGTTAAAAACACATTTGAAAGACTCACGTTTAGAAGTTATCAATCAGCAGGTATGTATTATTTATAATTTACATACCAATTAGGAATGACCTCTTATAGTGAAAAGATCTTGGAGTCTATAATCAGAAAACATAGATTCAACACTGGGTCCTACTGTATGGGACCTTGGGCGAGAGATATAACTCTTAGCTTCAGTTTTCTAATTTGTAAAAAATAGATAAGAATATTTATTTGATTCTGGGTATTGATCTAAGCCCTGGGAATTTAATAGTGAGTTCCTTCCCTTATAAAGATGACAGTCTAGTAGGTTAGAGAAACAATTAAAGAAGCTTTGCACTACGTTATGACTAATGACACAAGTATAAGCTGCTGTAGAAGTAGGAGCTTTTAAGTTAGCTTGGAGAATCGGAAAAGCCTTCTAGCCTTTTAGCATATTTACAGTTTCTCTGAATGCCTCTCATAATTTCCAATTTCTTTAACTCATTGACAGACATCTTTAATGTATCCCAAGATTTGATAATTGTTCAGTGAAATATAATCATAGTCTTTTTGGTAGTGACTTCTCAGTTTCATGTTTATCTTGCAGAGGAAATTATTTTTGGTTAGGTTATTATTTTGTTAAAGGAAGACCTAATATATGATTAATTTTCATAGATAATTTTCAGGTGTTTCAAAAATTACCTCTAAAAGTTACTTTACTTGTAAAATGGGGATATCTACCTTATTTTTTGTGTGATAAGAATAATTATAAATTAAATAATATATAAAATACTTTAATAATCATTTATGGCTTGCATATATGCAAATCATTTATGGTTTGCAATATTATATATAACTATATATGCAAATCATTTATGGTTTGCAATATTATGTATGACTACATATAAGTATACTATATATCTCTATATAGTTATATACATTATAAGTACTATATATCTATGGTTATAGTTATATACATATATCACTATACTATATATCTTATATACATATAAGTATATAAATATACTATATATATCTATAGTTACAGTTATATACATATAAGTACTATATCTATATATAGTCATAGTTATAGACATATAAGTAACTATATAGTTACTTTTATATATATGTACACACACACATATATATATACACACACATACCACACATACACACACACATACACACGCCTGGGGTGATGTTTAAAACTACTCCTTCCCTATCTAGAAAGCCTTAAAATTCTTGATTATTGAATTTTGCCTAAAGGTTCTTTTCAGAATTATCAGACCTATCCACCAAGAAAATTTTACTAGAATTCATCATCTTGCCTTTTTTCCCCATTCAATGTGTGATTCTGAACATAAGCAGAGTAGGGTTCTTATTAATACTTGGGTGAGTAATTTATTACCTATAGAATCTGAAATTGTGTTTCTATAACATTTTGAAATTACTGTAGAAAATCAAAGAAAGGATGTTTGTAAATATTAAAGTAATTAAATAATTAATACGTATTCTTTTTTATTCAATTAGGATAGTAACTTTATCACAGCTCTTGAATTAGCAGTACGTTTTGGGAAAACCCTTATTATACAAGAGATGGATGGTGTAGAACCTGTTCTTTATCCATTATTGAGACGAGATCTGGTTGCTCAAGGTAAATAATTGACACTTTCCAGAGTGTAAATATTTTTAAAATTTCCAAAGTAAGTAATTAAACCAGGTGCAAGCTTTCAAGAGTCCTCTTCCAGTGGAGTCACACATGATGGGCTTACTTCCTTCAGCAATATGTGTAAAGTTGTGACAATATGTGTAAAATGTTGTTTATCAGGAAAGCTCAGTAGAGACCTAGTACCCATAGTTTACTGGGGGTTGATTACGTAAGCACACTCTCCCTAGCACATTACAAAATTCTAGACCCCCTGAAGGAAAGCAGGTGTAGCATAAACCATATTGTTTGTACAAACAGTTTAGGCACAGTGAGCCACTTTTTTGAGTTCTGAGGATGGTGAGAACTCTCCCAAAAGCTAAGTTCCCAGGTGCTGGTTATGGGCCAACTTTACAAGTAGCCCTTTCTAAAGAGTCTCAGGATTGCTATGTTAATTCTTTTCTGCATAGGAACCCAGCCCAGTCTTGGATGATTAGAAGGCTATGCCTTGAAACTTAAAGAGCATATCATGCAAAGTGTATACACATACATATGTAGACGTGTACATATACGTACGTGAATGTATGCCACATACGTTGCTAGCACAGCAAACTTTAAATAGAAAATTGATGTTATTGGGGCAACGCAGAGAAATAGCAAAGCATGCACTATTCTCTGATAACCTATTGTCCCTCACATTGATATGTTTGGCCTAGTACTGGTTGATATGTTATGAGAACTCAAGTAGTGGGGCCTTTGTAACATTATCCTCTTAATATATTTTATGGGCATGAAGGGCAGGGAATATCTAAGCTACTGTATAACAACAGAAGCTTGTAATCAAGAAAGTGACCTTGCTAGAATGGAGTTGTCTTCCAGAGCTCAGTTTCTGGTCCTTCTGTTGGGGGTAACTCAGATCTGCTGAGCTAGTTTCTTGCTATGATATCTTAAGGAGGAGGAAATGAACCTTTAGGGCCATCTCAATTTGCCATTCTTCATTCTATACTGTGGTCCTGAAGGACTCATTAAATATAAATCTCCATGAGTTCTGGTTAGTGTTAGGTTTTAATGGTATGTGTGGCATTGTCTGAGTGTAGAGTGTTGACTAGATCCCCTGAAAAGAGTGATAAATTTTATATCATGATTGGTTCACATTTTGAACTGTTCTAGGTAGTTATGCAAGCCTGTTTAGGTCAATTTGTTTATGTCAGAATTAGGAAAAGAGAGTTAACCATTGCCCCTATCTTACTTTTTCCATCTTCTCCGCAGGGTTGGATGTATTCGTGTCACACTAGTCTGTTATCCCCTTTGTGTATATTCCAGATATTGTCCTTTTCAAGAGTGATAAGTTCCTCATGAGTTGCCATTTTTTCATCATACATTAACTCTGGGGACAGAGGATGGTAGTCCTAGAATCACATAAAACAAAGTTTGTGCCAAGTTTGTTTACATCCCAGTGTCCTTAATCTAAGATATACAAATTACTTTTCTACTTACTGTGTTTAAAGCAGACATAAATATAGGAATAGAATGTACTTCTCTCCTACAAATTTATGCTCGTCAAAAATCTTATTTATTGATCGTAGAAAAGCAAGGTATACTTCTTCAAATTCTCTTTTTCTCTCTCTCTCTCCTTTTTTTTTTTTTACTTTGTTTCCTATGTGCTTAGGAGCTCAGCCAAGACAGAAGGTAGATGTGGCAGTTTGCAGTTGGTAAATAGTTGAAGACAATTGGACCAGCTAACTGTATAGAAGTTGTTGAGGGAGAGGCTAGTGTAGTTGGCTAATAGTTTTACATTTTACAAACAACAGACATCAAAAGTATCTTCTATTAAGCATTCTAATCCTTTATGGTTGTTTTATTTCCATGTTGAGTTTGAGTATGGAACCAGGAATTATACTAGAGATGACAGCTAAACATTTGTGGTTGATTCTTTTAGTCCAGATGCCTCCTTTTAGGCATGGTTCCTACAGAGACAGGCATACGTACATGCAACATAAAGGTTAAATTTGTGATTAATTGTTGTCTCTGTTTTCAAGAGGTATATCTCCATATGGATGTGTCTTTCGTAGTCCAATTGCTTCTGGGTGACCCAATGGCCCGAAGACTGGTAGATCACTGTTCTTCTATTAGGAGCAGTTTTGTCTCCCAGAGAATATTTGGCAATGTCAGGAGACATTTTTGGTTGTCACAGCTGGAGTGGAGGGCCACTATGCTAGAGACATCTTAAAATGGACAGGACAACTACCTAACAACAAATAATTTCTCAGAACAAATTGTTAATACTGCTAAGGTTGAGAAACCTTAAGCTAGTTCACTAGTTCCAACCCATGAGTCTCTGGACAGGTATATTTTAGTTGGTCTCAGAGTGGCATATTTTCTAGCCAGGAACACTACTTGAAGTGAGCTCATTGTACAGAATATCCAATGCTATAGATTGCCAGAAATTGTACCTGTGGTTAGTTGATGGGTATAGCATTGCATTGGATTTGCTTATCTGTAAGATTATTTGTAGATATCTGTAATTTGGTGTACCTGAAGGGTATAGGGACCGAAGACAAGGATTGATTTACAGTTGCCTCAATTACTTCCAAAGGTGCCTCTTGCAAGGGCTATGATTTAAACCTAGCCATGTTTGTTGACAAGATATAGGGGCTATGGTGAAATTTCCAGGTATGGAACATGCTGCTTTTTATAGGCCAAGAGGGTATTCAGATGTTGGTTATCTTTCTTTCTTTGTATTTAGTGGCTGTAACGCAAGCAGTTGGTCTATAATGGGCTGTGGGATATCTCCTTGTGAAATGTTTATTTCCTTCTTTGGGTGCCAGAGTTTTAGATTTGCCTTTAATTAAGTCCCATTCATCTTGAGTTGTGCCTGAGTGGTATGCAATACAATGTGAAAAGTTTTCCCACTGGAGACCATTATCAAAATTTTATCTACATAATGGAATGGAATTTGGACCTATATGGAGGTTCTCATGGTACTTGAATTCATCTAACTCAGTTGATAATATATTTCTGAAGTGTTTGGACCTATAAAGGTGTCCTGCATACAATAGCTGAACTGATTTTGGTCTTCTTTTGAAAAGAATATAAAAGAGAAATAATTAGTAATAATTAGCAATATCCCAGTCTGCATACTAAGTATCAGTTATGACAGCAGTTTTTATATTCATTGTTATGTCAGGTACTATGGAATCTATGGTGGCCACTGCCTGGTTTAAATTTGAATGGTCATAGTAAACCTTCAGCAGCATTGGTTTCCAAAATTCAGACAGATAAAATTGTGGAGCACCCCTGCCTGGTGTAAAAATATAGATTCCTTTGCACTTTCTGTCATAATACATTTCTTTCAGCTGTAAATATTGATAGGATTTGGGTATACCTTATAGGTTGATCTTGCCTGAATCTTTATCTGATTGTTACAGAAGTAACCAAAGATATCACAGTGAGTGCATCTAAATATATCCATGTATCCAAGCACCCCAAATGTTCATTCCGTTGTACACGTTGACTGAAAAAAACAAACAAAAAAACAAAATATCCAAGCCTTATGTTGGTTCAGAAAACAATAGCCATGTAAATTGGCACTTTCCCTGGAAAGGACCCAGAGACCAACTCTTGTACCTTGCCCAATCATGCTGTCTTTAGTTATCTAAAGTACAACACAGATTCTGTGTTCAGAGGAAAAAAGTAGTCAAAATTAACTGCATCACAGGTTAATTCCAATGTAAATTAAGAATTCATACAGTTAAGACTGTGTTGGACTCTATAGTTCTACATTTGATATTTTCTATGAATAAGAGATGAGACAACACTGAAGAGTCTTTTTTAGACAATAAAATATTTATTTTAAAATATTTTCAAAAATGTTTTATCAAAGTAGTACATGCATGGGTTGTAAAGTCAAATGATACAGAAGTGCAGCAGCATTCTGTTCCTCCCCTCCCATGACTAGTTCTACTCACCAAAGAAAAACTTTTTTTATTTTAACTTTTTATTTAAAAATAAATATGCGTAAAGAAAAGAATACCTAAATTTATAGCTAATGAATTTTTACAAATTGAATACACCTGTATAAACACCCAGATCAAGACATAAGAGCTTTATTAGCACTCCAGAAGCCCACTTACTTACTACACCTCTTCTCCACAAGGATAACCACATTCCTAACTTACAACAGCATAGAGAAGTTTTGCTTCTTTTTGTACTTTGAGTAAATGAGAAAGAAAAAAAGCAGCACCTGACTACTCTAGACTGAGATCTGGCCAGATTCTAATAGCTTGGACTTTGTGTACTCCTGTTGAACATAAATCATTTCATAAAACACCAACATCAGAGAGGTCACTCTGACTGCAGTCATGTTTGAGCACAAAAAACAGGAACACTTTCCATAACACAAAAATAACCAAACATTCTCTTCTCCCAGTTAATATGAGTGACTCCTGCTTCTTTACCAATGATAGTTTAGTCCCACTCCATTTCTCTTACATATACATAAAAATTAAGATACTAAACCATTGTTTGCTCTTTCTGATCACACCCAATTCCCAGGAAAAGTACATTTTTCTTGAATTATTTATAAATCGCCTAACACAAGCCAAAATCCTCTAACAAGCCTCTATTAAGTCCTTTGTACTGACATAATGCACAATTTCCCATGATGTTCTATCTTTCATTGTAAAGAGCTGGTAAACGTGAGCTATGGCTCTTTAAACACTGGGATTATTTTGTTTTGTTTCTATTGTGTTTTTTGTGTGTCTGTCAGCTTTGGTTAAGTCGTATTTTTTTAGGTGATTGTTTTATCTAAATTATCACATAATATATATTTTAAATAATATTCTCATCTTTTCAATGTCTGTTGGCTTTGTAATGATGTTTCATTTTTCCTGATATTGATAATTTTTATTATCTTTTTCATTGATTAGTCTTGATAGGGATTTATCAATATTACTAATCTTTTCAAAATACCAACTTTCAATTTTTAAAATTTTAATTTTAGATTCACAGGGGACATATGCAGGTTTGTTTAACAAGCGTATATTGCATGATGCTGTGTTTGGACTCCTATTGATCACGTCACCCAGATAGTGGACATAGTATCCAAGAGGAAGTTTTTTAGCCTGCGATCCCCCCTCACTTTTGGAATCCCACTATCTAATGTTACCATATTTCCCAAGTCTGTGCGTAGCCAACCAACTTTTAATGTTGATTTTCTGAACTGTATTTTAAAATTGATGTTGCTCTTTGTTATTTCATTCCTATCACTTCTCCAAATTTTATTTGGTCTTTTCTAGATTTTTGAAATGGAAAATCAAAATATTGATAGTCTTTTCTTTTTTCTAATATATGCATTTATGTCTATCAATTTTCCTTTAAGCCCTTCTTCAGCTTCCTACCCAAGTTTCAGTTTCTTTTTTCAACTTATAAATTCCTTAGTATTTTGTTGTTTAATTTTCAGGTGGTTGGAGATTTTCTAGTTACATATTTGTTATTGATATGTAGCTTATCTCCATTTAGTCATAGAACTTATTGTAAAGTATTTTAATTTTTTGAATTCTGTTGAGCCTTCTTTCTGATCTGGCATTTGGTTATTTTTTATAAATGTTCTATGGAACTTGAAAATTGTATGAATTTTGCTCTTGCTTCATTTAATTTTCTGTACAGGTTAATTAATAGTGTCAAGTTTGTTAATTGTGATGTTCAAATCTATGCCCTAATTTATTTTTTTTCTTTGCTTTATCGTGTATTGAGATAAATATCCTAAAGTTTCTGTGATTTTGAATTTGTCTTTTAGTTCTGTCAGTTCTTGTTTTAAATATTTTGAAAGCTATGTTATTAGATGCATACATTTTTGGAAATGTGACATCTTTCTATTCAGTTGTCTTATTTATCATTATGAAATGTTCTTCTTTATCTCTATAAATGTTTCAAGCTTTAGAGTCTGATATTAGAGTGGTTACACAAACTTTTTGGACTAGTATTTACATGGTATATACTTTGCCATTCTTTAACTTTCAACTTTTTTGTTGGGTTTTTTAAAAAATATTTTATTGTGCATATTTAAGATTTACAGCATTATATTATGAGATACATATATATCATAAAATGCTTTTCTGTCGTAAAGCAAATTAACATATCTATCAATTTACACAGCTAGCCCCCTTTTTGTGTGTCAAGAGCAGCTAAACTCTACTCCTTTAGCACAACATCCCAAATGCAATAGTTTTGTTACCTACAGTCCTCATGTTGTACATTGGATTTCTAGACTTAATCATCCTACATATCTGCTATTTTGTATTCTTTGACTACATCTCCCATCCCCTCCTTCATTCCCCTGCTACCTGCCCCTGGTAAATACTGTTTTATTCTCTGTCTCTATATATTTGAGATCAAGCAGTAATTTTCTTTCTGTGTCTGGCCTACTTTACTTTGTATAATGTTTTCCAGGTTTATACATGTTATGGCAAATGGCAGGATCTACTTTTTTATGACCGAACATTATTCCATTGTGTGCATGTGGGTGTTTGTGTATACACATCATGTTTTCTTTTCTTTTCCTTTCATTTTTTTAGAACAGGGTCTGACTCTGTTGCCCACCAGGCTTGAGTACAGTGGTGTGATCCATAGTTCACTGTAACCTCGAACTCCTGGGCTCAAATGATCCTCTGGCCTCAGCCTCCTGAGTATGTTGGACTATAGGCACATACCATCATGCCCAGCTAATTAAAAACATTTTTTTTTTTTTTTGCAAAGACGAGGTCTCAGTATGTTTCCCAGATGGATCTTGAACTTCTGGTCTCAAGTGGTACGTCCGTCTCAACCTCCCAAAATGATGCGATTACAGGCATAAGCAGCCGTGCCTGACCCACATTTTCTTTATCCGATCTGTTGATGGACATTCAGGTTGTTTCCATGTCTTGGCTGTTGTGAATAATGCTGTGAAGAAATGGGAGTGCAGATATCTTTATGAGGTGGTGACTTATTTCCTTTGGGCATATACCCAGAAAAAAGATTGCTGGGTCATATGGTAGTTCTGTTTTTAATTTCTTTAGGAACCTTCCTACCATTTTTCATAATGGCTGCCCTGGTCTTCATTCCCACCAACAATTCCCTTTTCTCCGTATCTTCATCAACATTTGTTATCTCTTGTCTTTTTGATAATACCCATCCTAACAGGTGTGAGTTGATATCTAATAGTGGTTTTGATTTGCATTTCCTCATGATAAGTGATGTTGAGCATCGTTTCATATAGCTGTTGGCCATATTTGTATCTTCTTTGGAGAAATGTCTATTCAGGTCCTTTGCCTGCTTTTTAATCAGGTTATTTATCTTTCTGCTATTGAATTGTATGAGTTTTTTCTTTATACATTTTGGATATTAACCCCTTATCTGATATATGGTTTATAAATAACTCCAAGTTTTTAGGTTATTCTTTCATTTTGTTGATAATGTGTATTTTTCAGTTACTCATGTGATAATCTGTTTTTTTAACCATCATTCTGTTTTCAAATACTGTATCTTAAATACTAGTGCAATAAACACTTTTAAAATGATGAATTTAGAAGTAAAGAAAAAATATAATTGAGGATTTCTATTTTTGTCATCTATAATCAGCCATTTCAGAGCAATCTGGAATATGAAACATATTAATGTTAAAACCATACTGAATGAGAATAGATATTCCTTGGGTGCTTCAGTATCCCAGGATCTTCTTAGTGAATATTATTTATCATTGCTTGCATAAGTGCTGATAAATAGAACATTCTGCTAATAGTATCTCAGGTAACCCAACTTTTGCCGTCTTAGACTCTGTCGAAAAGCCTATATTTAGAAGTACTTAAAAATTATATTTTCAAATATTGTATAGTGAAATACAGAAGATTCAGACCAACCAATTGTGTGTTTTTTTTAAATAGGACCACGTTATGTGGTACAAATAGGTGACAAAATTATTGACTACAATGAAGAATTCCGCCTCTTTTTGTCAACAAGAAACCCAAATCCTTTTATTCCACCGGATGCAGCTTCCATTGTTACTGAGGTTAACTTTACTACAACAAGAAGTGGATTACGAGGGCAGGTATACATAGATAATAATAATTTACCTTGGAATCTTTTCGAGCTTTATATACCTATTAGACATTGTGAGTGAGAAGCTATTTTGTTAGACTAATTAGTATTTACATTTATGATTTTGAAAATAATACTTGTATGTTGGAGTGAAGCATTCTGGCTTATTTCATTTATCATATGTATTAGACCTGTACATTTGATGCTAATGTCAAATTGCTGCTCCTTTTAATATAACTCTAATTTTAAAGTTTATTTCTGTTATATGTGGTAGAATTTGAGAGATTGATGGATCGTAAAGATCATCTGCATTATATTTTTGGTTTGAAAACTGAAATTTAATTGTGAAAAGTGTAGCTAATTGACTTGTTCAGCTAGTTAAGAGTCTTTGATTCCTGAGCCAGCATTTTTTTTTAACCATTAGAACACATGGCATCTTTGAAGTCAATTTATCTTCATATGGCTCATTACAGTTCAGAATTATTACATAAATTTCAAAATGATTTTTCATGTCCATACTCACATGTTTCCTAACTCATTTTTTCCCCTTTAAAGATATAATGCCAGTTGACTTTTGGAGTATCATCCTATTTTTTACTCATCTAACAATAGTAGATTTTTTTCATCTTTTGATTTATATGATAGCATACATATTTGCTGCAATTTTTACTTGATTGTAATTTTTAAAATTGTCCTTTCAAAATATTTCTTTGTATACCATATGACTCATCAAGTATATTTTAATGAACAATATCTTTTGATTGACTTGATGATACTTCTTTTAAATAAAACAATGTGACAATCATTCAAAACTTGGCAGAATTAATTGACAGAATTGCTCCTGCTGTGTAAAAGATCTCCACAGTAGTTGCAAAAAAGGAGCTATGTAGGTCTTACTTAGCAAGAACTAAATGAAGATGCTTATACAGCAGATTTTGAATTACATATTTTATACCAATGTCTTTCTCTATTTTAGTATTCAGAGTTAACAATTTGACATAGCATTTTTCAACAGCTTCACAGATAACAGCTTTAACAAATACAATGTACATACCATACAACTTGCTGATTTAAAATGTATAATTCAATGGTTTTTTTAGTGGAATTGCTGGGTCTTATGGTTACTTTATATTTGGCAATTTGAGAAACAAATCTTTCCAAAGTGGCTGCACTATTTACTTTCCCACCAGAAATATAGGAGGGTTCCGCTTTTTTCCATATCCTTGCCAACTCTGGTTGTTATGTATCTTTTTAATTGTAGTCATTCTAGTGGGAGTGAAGTGGTATCTTATTGTGGTTTTGATGACATAGTATTTTATCTTTTTATTTGTTTATTTTATTTTATTTTTTTGAGACGGAGTCTGGCACTGTTGCCCAGGCTGGAGTGCAATGGCGCAATCTCGGCTCACTGTAACTTCTGCCTCCTAGGTTTAAGCTATTCTCCTGCCTCAGCCTCCCGAGTAGCTGGGATTACAGGCGCCCACCACCACGCCTGGCTAATTTTTTGTATTTTTAGTAGAGATGGAGTTTCACTATGTTAGCCAGGCTGGTCTCGAACTCCTTACCTCGTGATCCACCCACCTCAGCCTCCCAAAGTGCTGGGATTACAGGCGTGAGCTACCATGCCTGGCCCTTTTTATTTGTTAATGTGAATACTTACTATTAAAAAAATAGTAATCTCATAATTTAGTATATTTAATTTAAAACTAAATATTACACATTGATATGTTAAGTAATGCACTTTCTTACAGCTTTTCTACAGTAGTTAATATTTTACTGATCAGCTTAACTGTTTTGTCTCTTTTTCATCAGATGTAATTGTTGAAGGTGTCTTATGTTTAATTAGAAAGAATGAAATGAGATAACATAGTATCATATTTGTAATAGTCTGTCAAACACAAGGCCTGTTTGCAGGAAGTTTTTGTTTTGTTTTAAGCCTTATTGCTAGAATTACCTTGTCTTTTTGTTATCCCAAGCTTTTAGCTTTAACCATTCAGCATGAGAAACCTGATTTAGAAGAACAGAAAACAAAACTATTACAACAGGAAGAAGATAAGAAAATACAGCTAGCCAAGCTCGAAGAATCTCTTCTAGAGGTAAAAGTCTAGCTATTTAGGTTACTTTTTTCGTATTACTTTTTTTTTAATGAATACAAATAACAGTGTTTGGAAAATTAATAGTATCTTCAGATTTTTTTTTCCAAAGACATATTAGTGTATATCTTACAGTCAAAATTCTAACAAGAAGGGGAGCTATGTTTTGGAATACAAGATCTTAATGAGCAATGTTTAAGACAAGCAATTTTTAACTAATTTGTATTGTTTTATTATTTAATTATATGCTAATAATTTCAAGAAGCATTGAAAGCAAGAAATTATAACAATCTGTAACTTTAAGTAGTTTTTATTTTTTATTAAATTGACAAAATTAATACCTTGCTATGTTTGATAATGATATAATTTCTTAAAATAATTTATGAATTCATTTGATATAAGAAGACTATAATAAAAACAGAATAAAACTTTAAGAGGGCTATAAAATGTTGAAATTCTTCTAAAATAACATAAGTTGCCATAAACATCAAATGAATGACAGTTAATATGGGTTTGCTTTAATTGGTTATTTTTATATGTATAATAATATTCATATTGTTAACTTTCCCTACAGACACTTGCCACATCTCAAGGCAATATTTTGGAAAATAAGGATTTGATTGAGTCTTTGAATCAGACAAAAGCAAGCAGTGCACTTATTCAAGAGTCACTTAAAGAATCTTACAAACTCCAAATTTCCCTTGATCAAGTAATTATTTCCTTCTTTGTAATTTCGTATTATGTTTTCTTGAACATTTAGGTTAATATGATAGAAAATGTAGAATCAGGTCCTCAGGGGAAAGATGATGTGAAAAGAAAAAAGCTATTCAAAAACATCAGAACATTGGGTTTGATTCTAGTTATTGTAGAGAGGGAATTCAGATGTTGGCACACTGAGGATAAGGAGTGTTTGTCAGTATACCCTGCTGCCTTCTACTGATTTCTGGCATAATGTTATCTAAGGTAGAGCTGCAGTTTTGTACTAAAATTGGAAATGAGTATATTGAAAATGAGTATTAGAGAATATCTTTGCCGTTCTTAGAACTTTTCTTAAGTTAAGGCAAGTTAAATATACTAATTAAAAGGGTTATAAGCTCTAAGGTACAGTTATTGGCTCTTTTCATGCTTATAATGAACAGTGCTGGGTACTTTATTATCCTAATGTGGACACCTGTTAGAGTCATCTTCTCTACCTCTAGTTCCATCAGTGTTCTTATTGTCACCAATCCTATACTCATAGTTCGAACTTTTCTTCACATCAGAGATAGCCTGATAGCGCTGTGCTGTCTTGCGTTACCTTAACTGATTCTCTTTTGAAATGTAAAATTGGATCATCTATTCTCTGATCACAAATATTTACCATTTCATCTTACCCACTTTCCCCTAATACTAGTGCTGTTGGTCCTCATTAAGACCAATCTGTGAACCACTTCTAGCTCTGTCAACTGAGAGGTAGAAAGGTGTTTAAAATATATTGCTATAGTCTGAATATTTGTGTGTCCTCATCACCCCCAAAATTCATATGTGGAAATGTAATCCCCAGTGTAATAGTATTAAGAGGTGGAGGTTTTAGAAGGTGACTAGGTCATGAGGGTGGAGCTCTCATGAGTGGGATTAGTAACCTTATAAAAGAAGGCCAAGGGAGTTTTTTAGCCCCTTCCAGCATGTGAGAACACAGCAAGAAGCAGTTCTTTCTGTGAACCAGGAAACAAGCTCTCACGAGACACCAAATCTGTTGGCACCTTGATCTTGGACTTCCCAGCTTCCAGAACTGGGTGAAATAAATTTCTGCTATATAAAAGCAGAACGAGTTTAGTGTATTTTGTTATAGGTAGCCTTAATAGACTAAGACATATATTCTTTGCAGTTTTATAAAAATGAGGAAGAAAAACTAGATTTTGCTATCTTTTTTAGTTAGAAACCATGATTCATCATCTTCATTTGTTTTATGTGCATAGAAAAAGTAAGGTTTTTTTATTACTTGGGTAGATATGTGCATTGTAGTCTTTAGGTGGCAGTAAAGCACTAATTCTAAGGTGTTTCCACCCTATCCCCTACTGATCTCTTGATCCATAGGAACGGGATGCCTATCTCCCCCTGGCTGAGAGTGCCAGCAAGATGTACTTCATTATTTCTGATTTGTCCAAAATTAATAACATGTACCGTTTTAGTTTGGCTGCTTTTCTCCGACTTTTCCAACGAGCTCTACAAAACAAACAGGTAAGCTGTTGGATACCCTGTACCAGAGACTGAATTACAGGGATTACTTTACTAGGGATAGTACTTAATTTATAATAAAAATTATTAAGCAAACTTTCATAGAATTATGTTCCAAAAGACCACATGTAACACTTTTAAGCTATATAAAGAAACTACTTAATTTCTTTTTATATTGTTAACAAGGTGTCCCAATGTGACAATCTTTTTAATGAAAACAGTTTATGTTCTGAGTATAAATTAATAAGTAATATATAATCATTTAAAAAACCCAGTGATTCTGAAAGGTATAAAAATAAGAATTATCCCTATAATATCATTACCTGGGGAAAACAACATTTAACATTTTATTATATATCCTTGTTGTTTAAGGCAGTAACTTTCCAGATAATGGAGGTACACTTGTCCACTGCCTTATCAAGCATGTATTCTAATGGAGGGAAGTATGTATTAAAGGATAACAAATTGTTTTAACTAAAAGATACAATACTGTGCTTTAAAAAGTGTATTAGTGTATTATGGACAGCTTTCCTACCAGTGAATATAAACTTAATGTTTTTAAGAGATGGTGAGGCTATACCATACTTTATTTAACCACCTCCCATATATGCACATTGTTCTAATTATTTCTGTTGAGTATCGTATTAATCCGAAACTTGGCCAATTAAAACTATTTTCTTATGCTTATTGATTCTATTGGAAATTTAGTCAGGACTCAGCAGGGATGACTTTGTTTGTTTCACAACGTCTAGGACCTCAGCTGAGAGGACTTGAGAGTTGAGGGGCTAAGACAGGTGCTTCACTTGCCCGCCTGGTGCTGTGGGTTGGGAGGACTTGACGACAGGACTGCCAACTGCAGCACCTCTGCAGGAGGCTTGGCTTTTTCACAGCACTGAGTAGATGGATGGACTTCTTATTTTTTAGCTCAAGGCACTAAGTATGTGTTTCAGTGAATAAGGCTGAAACTGAATAGCCTTTTAAAATGCAGCCTTAGGTCTGTGTCATTTCTGCTGTATTGTACTGGCTGAAGCAGTCACAAATCTATGTAGAGTACAAAACTTTCTGCTGTTTAAAAAATCTACTGGATCTTGTAGGTACAGTACTGTGTCTTATGATAGAGTGACTTTTAGGAAATCCAAGTCTCAATTTCATATGTGATCTTTGTTAACATATAGTGAAATGAATACAAGTATTTGCTATCTAAAGTAATGATTAGTTGTCTTGGTTAGAACATGCTACTACAAGGCTAGAAGCCTAGGATTAATGCATCTGAGTTCCAGTTCATAATGTTTTCTTTATACCAATTTCACACATTTCTTTGCTGATCCTGGATGTATTTTTCTAAGCATTAAAATTGTTTTACTAGGTTTTTTTCTTGGTATTAATTTATAAATCACAAGGAAGCAAGCAAATTTAGTCTAATTGTTATACCAGAATTGATCTTCCTAAGACATGTATTCTCCAAATGCTCTGAGATGTAAAACTTACATCACACTAAGGGAAAAGGACAGGTTGACAACCTACCCTTCCTCCATTTCTATGCCAAACAATTTTTCTTTAATCAAAGGAAATAGACACTAATAACATGTTTTTCAATTATTACAATCTTGCAAAACGGAATTATTATATCAGATCAAAAACTAAAATTTTATGTGAGTTTTTACAGCATCAATTTCAAAGTTATTGTTCATCCTTATTCATCCTGCAGCACATGATTTAAGATCATTGAGGTTCCCATATTGAGAATGAGAAAATTCTTTATAAGGTATTCTTGTCATATTGTTTTGGGGCTGGATTGATAATTATAATATAAATAATTAAAATGGCCTTAACCTAGATTGATGTAGATAGTATTTTAATGCTGATAGGAGACTGATATAAAATTCAACTTATATTGTATTATTGGGAATTGATTGTAATTTTCATTTCTTGAAAGCTTTAACTCTATACATTAAAGAAAGATGCGTCATTTTTTAATATTATATTAGTATACAAGTTTAATGCACTTGTTTAGTCCCTTGAATTTGATGGTTAAAGATACTTGTTTCAGAATCAGCTTTGAATCTGGAGGAACAATTTATAGGCGTACTTTTTAAATGTTTATAAATTTCCTAATGAATTTCCAATTATAATCTACAGGATTCTGAAAATACAGAACAGAGAATCCAGTCACTTATCAGCTCATTACAACATATGGTATATGAATATATATGTCGTTGTCTATTTAAGGTAAGAAGCATCATATTTTTCAAATATAAAATACTACTTGTTCTGTGATTTAACGTAATATTTATAGTTATAGTATAACTCTTTCCCTACTGGAAAGGTATTAAAAATGGTATTTCTGGTATTTTTCCAGAACATTTAACTGGAATGCCTTATAGCATTCTTGGTTGTAGTGGGGAAAAAAGTGACAAGTGAAGAAGGGACAGCAAACACTGCGTTAGCTGACTTAGTTCTAAATATTCCAGTGGTCACCAAAAGAGATAATGACAATGGATTATGTATCTCATTATATAGCTAGACTTTCTCATCCTCAGCAACTGACATTTTGGGCTACATAATTCTTTGTGTGTGGGATGTTGTTCTGTGCGTTTTAGGATGTTTAGCAGCATCTCTGCCTTCCAGCATTCCTTCCCATCAATTGTGAGAATAAAAAATGTCTGTGGACATTGTCCAATGTCTCTGGGGTTGAGGAACAAAATTATTTTGCATTGTTAGCATTAGGAAGTAAACTAGTGTTTGATCCTGAGTTATGAAATTTTTTACAGAAGTCTTCATATTACGTGTGTTCCAGAAGAGAACACACATCGGACAATATTTTAGAAATTTTAGATATTAGAAAACGCAGAGGCCTTTTTGTACTTAGAATTTTTTTTTTTTTTTTTGGAGACAGAGTCTCTCTCTGTTGCCCAGGCTGGAGTGCAGTGGCGAAGTCTTGGCTCACTGCAAGCTCTGCCTCCTGGGTTCAAGTCATTCTCCTGCTTCAGCCTCCCAAGTAACTGGGACTACTGGCGTGCACCACCATGCCTGGGTAACTTTTGTATTTTTAGTAGAGAGAGGGATTCACCATGTTGACCAGGGTGTCTCGAACTCCTGGCCTCATGTGATCTGCCCTCCTCAGCCTCCCAAAGTGCTGGGATTATAGATATGAGCCTCCATGCCCAGCCAGAATTTTTTTTTTTTTTAAATAGCAATCTGTGGGTATAGCTTAAGACATAATGTTGCAGAATAGCTTTGTAAAGGCAATTAATTCAGAGAAATAGAATTATTATGGTTCAATTATATAGGCTTCTTAGAAAGTGTTGAAAAATATACAGTTAATGTATTTTTAGAACAGGATAGTAATTTTTGTGATTTTGTTGAGGATCTTTATTTGAGATACAGAATAAATCCTTCAGAAGCTCTCTGGGCAGGGCATCTCTGAAAGAAAGGCAACACCCCCAGTCAGGGGCTTATAGATAAAACTCCCATCTCCCTGAGACAGAGCAGCTGGGGGGAAGGGGTGGCTGTGGGCGCAGCATCAGCAGACTTAAACATTCCCACCTGCTGGCTCTGAAGAGAGCATCGGATCTCCAACACAGAGCTTGAGCTCTGCTAAGGGACAGATTGCCTTCTCAAGTGGGTCCCTGACCCCTGTGCCTCCTGACTGGGAGACACCTCCCAGAAGGGGTCGACAGACATCTCATATAGGAGCACTGCAGCTGGCATCTGGTGCGTGCCCCTCTAGGACGAAGCTTCCAGAGGAAAGAACAGGCAGCAATCTTTGCTGTTCTGCAGACTCTGCTGGTGATACCCAGGCAAACAGGGTCAGGAGTGGACCTCCTGCAAAGTCCAGCAGACCTGCAGCAGAGGGGCCTGACTGTTAGAAGGAAAACTAACAAACAGAAAGGAATAGCATCAACATCAACAAAAAGGACATCTATACAAAAACCCCATCCGAAGGTCACCAAGATCAAAGACCAAAGGTAGATAAATCCACGAAGATGAGGAAAAACCAGCGCAAAAAGACTGAAAATTCCAAAAACCAGAATGCCTCTTTTTCTCCAAAGGATCACAACTCCTTGCCAGCAAGGGAACAAAACTGGACGGAGAATGAGTTTGATGAACTGACAGAAGTAGGCTTCAGAAGGTGGGTAATAACAGACTCCTCCAAGCTAAAGGAGCATGTTCCAACCCAATGCAAGGAAGCTAAGAACCTTGAAAAAAGGTTAGAGGAATTGCTAACTAGAATAACCAGTTTAGAGAAGAACATAAATGACCTGATGGAGCTGAAAAACACAGCACAAGAACTGTGTGAAGCATACACAAGTATCAATAGCTGAATTGATTAAGCAGAAGAAAGAATATCAGAGATTGAAGATCAACTTAATGAAATAAAGCATGAAGACAAGATTAGAGAAAAAAGAATGAAAAGGAACAAACAAAGCCTCCAAGAATTATGGGACTATGTGAAAAGACTAAATCTGCATTTGATTGGTGTACCTGAAAGTGACGGGGAGAATGGAACCAAGTTAGAAAACAGTCTTCAGGATATTATCCAGGAGAACTTGCCCAGCCTGGCAAGACAGGTTAACATTCAAATTCAGGAAGTACAGAGAACACCACAAAGATATTCCTTGAGAAGAGCAACCCCAAGACACATAATCATCAGATTCACCAAGGTTGAAATGTAGGAAAAAATGTTAAGGGCAGCCAGAGAGAAAGGTCGGGTTACTCACAAAGGGAAGCCCATCAGACTAACAGGGGATCTCTCTGCAGAAACCCTACAAGCCAGAAGAGAGTAGGGGCCAATATTCAACATTCCTAAAGAAAAGAATTTTCAACCCATAATTTCATATCTCACCAAACTAAGCTTCATAAGTGAAGGAGAAATAAAATCCTTTACAGACAAGCAAATGCTGAGAAATTTTGTCACTACCAGGCCTGCCTTACAAGAGCTCCTGAAGGAAGCACCAAATATGGAAAGGAAAAATCAGTACCAGCCACTGCAAAAACATACCAAATTGTAAAGACCATCAACACTATGAAGAAACTGCATCAACTAACAGGCAAAATAACCAGCATCATAATGACAGGATCAAATTCACACATAACAATATTAACCTTAAATGTAAATGGAGTAAATGCTCCAATTAAAAGACACAGACTGGCAAATAGGATAGAGTCAACACCCATCGGTGTGCTGCATTCAGGAGACCCATCTCACATGCAGAGATACACATAGGCCCAAAATAAAGGGATGGAGGAATATTTACCAAGCAAATGGAAAGCAAAAAAAAAAAAAAAAAAAAAAAAGCAGGGTTTGCAATCCTAGTCTCTGACAAAACAGACTTTAAATGAACAAAGATCAAAAAAGACAAGGGCATTGCATATGGTAAAGGGATCAATGCAACGAGAAGAGCTAACTATGCTAAATATATATGCGCCCAGTACAGGAGCACCCAGATTCATAAAGCAAGTTCTTAGAGACCTACAAAGAGACTTAGACTCCCATGTAGTAATATTGAGAGAGTTTAACACCCCACTGTCAATATTAGACAGATTAATGAGACAGAAAATTAACAAGGGTATTCAGGAGTCGAACTCAGCTCTGGACCAAGCGGACCTAACTCCACCCCATCTACAGAACTCTCCACTCCAAATCAACAGAATGTACATTTTTCTCAGCACCACATCACACTTATTCTAAAATTGACCACATAATTGGAAGTAAAACACTCCTCAGCAAATGGAAAAGAACGGAAATCATAACAAATAGTCTCTCACAACACAGTGCAATCAAATTAGAACTAAGGATTAAGAAACTCACTCAAAACTGCACAACTACATGGAAACTGAACAACCTGCTTCTGAATGACTAGTAGGTAAATAACAAAATTAAGGCAGAAATAAATAAGTTATTTGAAACCAACGAGAACAAAGACACAATGTACCAGAATCTCTGGAACACAGCTAGAGCAGTGTTTAGAGGGAAAGTTATAGCACTAAATGCCAACAGGAGAAAGTAGGAAAGATCTAAAATCAACCCCCTAACATCACAATTAAAAGAACTAGAGAAGCAAGAGCAAACACATTCAAAAGCTAGCAGAAGACAAGAAACAGCTATCAGAGCAGAACTGAAGGAGATAGAGACATGAAAAACTCTTAAAAAAATCAATGAATCCAGGAGCTGGTTTTATGAAAAGATCAACAAAATAGACCGCTAGCAAGACTAATAAAGAAGAAAAGAGAGAAGAATCAAATAGATGCAATAAAAAATGATAAAGGGGATATCACCACCGATCCCACAGAAATACAAACTACCATCAGAGAATACTATAAACACCTCTACGCAAATAAACTAGAAAATCTAGAAGAAATGGATAAATTCCTGGACACATACACCCTCCCAAGACTAAACCAGGAAGAAGTCGAATCCCTGAATAGACCAATAACAAGTTCTGAAATTGAGGCAGTAATTAATAGCCTACCAACCAAAAAAAGCCCAGGGTCAGATGGATTCACAGCCAAATTCTACCAGAGGTACAAAGAGGAGTTGGTACCATTCCTTCTGAAACTATTCCATGCAATAGAAAAAGAGGGACCCCTACCTAACTCATTTTATGAGACCAGGATCATCATGATACCACAACGTGGCAGAAACACAACAAAAAAAGAAAATTTCAGGCCAATATCGCTGATGAACATTGATTAGAAAATCCTCAATAAAATATTGGCAAACCGAATCCAGCAGCACATCAAAAAGCTTATCCACCACAATCAAGTTGGCTTCATCCCTGGTTCAACATATGCAAATCAATAAATATAATCCATGACATGAACAGAACTAATGACAAAAACCACATGATTATCTCAATAGATGCAGAAAAGGCCTCCAATAAAATTCAACACACCTTCATGCTGAAAACTTCATAAACTAGGTATTGATGGAACGTATCTCAAAATAATAAGAGCTATTTATGACAGACCCACAGCCAATGTCATACCGAATGTGAATCAATATCAGTATCATACTGAATGGGCAAAAGCTGGAAGCATTCCCTTTGAAAACCAGCACATGATAAGGATGCCCTCTCTCACAACTCCTATTCAACATGGTACTGGAAGTTCTGGCCAGGGCAAAGTGGCAAGAGAAAGAAATAAAGGGTATTCAGATAGGAAGAGAGAAAGTCAAATTGTCTCTGTTTGGAGATGACATGATTGTATATTTAGAAAACCCCATCGTCTCAGCCCAAAAGCTCCTTAAGCTAATAAGCAACTTCAGCAAAGTCTCAGGATACAAAAAAAGGATGAATTCATGTCCTTTGCAGGGACATGGATGAAGCTGGAAACCATCATTCTCAGCAAACTAACACAGGAACAGAAAACCAAACACCACATGTTCTCACACGTAGGTAGGAGTTGAACAATAAGAACACATGGACACAGAGAGGGGAACATCACACACTGGAGCCTGTTGGGGGGTGCGGTAAAAAGTGAGTGAGAACATTAGGACAAATACCTAATGCAGGTAGGGCTTAAAACCTAGATGATGGGTTGATCGGTTTAGCAAACCACCACGGCACATGTATAACTATGTAATAAACCTGCACGTTCAGCACAAGTATCCCAGAACTTAAGTAAAATTTTAAAAAACAGAAAAGAAAGATAGTCTTCAAGCTCTCAGATTCTTTCCTCCACTTCATCTATTCTGCTCTTAATAATTTAGATTCCTTATAAAATTCTTGTAGTAAGTTTTTCAGCTGTATCAGATCAGTTGTATTCTTCTCTATACCGACTAGGTTGTCTGTCAGTCCCTGCATTGTTTTATCATGATTTTTAGCTTTCTTGGATTGCCTTTCAATGTATTCCTGTAGCTCAATGATCTTTATTTTGAATTCTATTATCTTCTTTATCCATATTATGAATTCTATTTCTGTCATTTCAGCCATCTCAATGTGGTTGCTTGCTGGAAAGGTGATGAAGTTGTTTGGAGGAAAGAAGGCACTCTGGCCTTTTGAGCTTTCAGGTTTCTTGGGCTGGTTCTTTCTCATCTTTTTGGGCCTACCTATCTTCAGTCTTTGAGGTTGCTCACCTTTCGATGGTTTTTTTGTTTTTCCTTTTATTCTATTTAATGACATTGAATGTTTGATTGAGGTTTAAGCTGGATTTAGTTAGCTGCTTTTGTTTCTGGAAGATTTTAGTGGGCCAGCGCTCATCTCCCATTTCCTGGACTGTGTGCCCTAACTCTGGGGGACTCATATTGGGCCCCAACTTTGATCTCTGGCTCCTTGGGGTTAGGAATCCACTGTGGTTGGGAATCCACATGTAGGGCAGTCAGGGTGGGTGGGGTGGGAGGGGCAAGGCGCTCTGTGACCGCTGGTCACTACACTGCGATAGGTGGTGTTACCTAAGTGTTTCATAGTGCGGTTACAGTGGGATTCATCCCTGTTTGCAAGTGCCAGCAGCAGTGGTAGCAGCAGCTGTGTCAGGGTACTAAATGGTCCCAGAGTGCCTACCTTTCTGCTTGCATTAACCAGGTGGGGGAGGCAGCACAGCTGCGGGGAGGGCATGTGGGGCCCCTGCAGATGACTGTGTGCATGATCACACTGCAGGTGGTGTTGGCTCAAGGGCAGGGCCCCTGTGGGTGCAGGTGGGTGCCTTCTCTGTGACCCTGCAAGCAGGAGCGGTCACTCAGGTCTGGGGAGCATCTTCTCTTCTCTGCACTTAGTTCCATTCCAGTGGCAGTCTTAGCACAAAAGTCAGCCACTAGCGGGGGTGGGGCCAGCTGGTTCTCTGCCTGCCAAGGCTCTTTTTGCGATGGTGGTGGGTGGTGGGAGGTTGGGCAGACTGCACTTTCACATGCTGGTATGGCAAGGAAAGCAAAAGCTGGCTATGCATACATGCACCGCAAAGATGTGTGGAGTTGCTGTGGATCGTGGGGAAGCTGGAGTGTGGGGAGGGAGCGCATGGGCTGGTGCACAGCTATGGAGACAGCTCTGCTGGAGCTGTCTGCCAGTCAGGCACAGTCTGCTAATGCAGGTCCCCTGGGCACCTGAGGCTGCCCTGCAAGCAGGCGTGGCCAGATTGGGGCTTCCGGAGATGCCAGCAGACCAAGGGGTGCTCAGGTTAAAACAGCCAGTCTAATGGGCAAGACTGCCCTGCAGAGTTCAGGACAAACAGTTCCCTTAGAGCTAAAGTCTCCAATGGGAGCAAGTTGAGCTGGGAATGGCCATTCCTGGCCAGCTCTGCTGCACATACTCCGGTACCAAACCCCCTGGGCTCCACATCAGCTGGCTTGCTGCCCCTACCACTTCTGTAAGCCCCTCTCCCTGCCAACTCAAGTGTCTGTGGTGGTCAAGGGATCTTTTCCTGCCCGGGTTCCAGAGGCCTGTGGCGAGAAAAGGTTGCATCTTGCCGGTTCAACTCACTTAGTCCCCAGAGCCACTGAGGGCCAGGAACAAGTCCAGGTGTGCAGTAGCTCTGGGTGGGGTTCCCAGCTTTCTCCTCCTTCAACCGAGCTTCTGTGTCTTCCCTGTATCACTCTTGGTGCTTTCCCTCTGAAGATCTGTTAGGGCCCGCCAGTCTTCTTGGCCCTTCAGTGGGAGCTGTTCCACCTGGTTGCATCTAGTAGGTCATCTTGCCTTCCACTCTGTATATTTTCCTTGTAAAGATTTTGCACTTGACTATAATCCAAACCTCACTTTTTAAGCCTCAATTTTACCTTGTGTAAAATGGGAAATTATAAGCAAATGATCTCAAAGCCATTTTGTTACTAAAATGTTATGATCCTAATTATGAAGATAACCTTCATAGTGATAGTTTCATTAGTTATAGATATCCTGTTTTGTCTAATATTGTATAATGTATTATCTCATGCAATACTTAAAACTTTTTCATTATACAAACAAAACTTTAAAATATTTTTAGAGTTTCAAGCTTAATGGAACTATATAGAAAGGAAACCTTAAAGATCCATTTAACTATTTCCATCCCTTATTCCTTCATCAGAGTAAACCAGTTCAAGGTTTGATTTGTTCCTTATCATCCATTTCCTATCTCTTTATATTCATAAGTACAAATATATAGATATAATTTTTAAATTTTTCTTGCTATATATTTTGTTCCATAATTTCTCTCTTCTTTTTGTAGTAAGGCCTGAAGATCTTTCCATGAGTATAAACATGTTAACTTCATTATTTTTAGTGACTGTGTGCTATTTTATAATATGACCATGTACTACTTCATCTACTACTCTCAGTGAATATTAGATTATTTATACATTTTTTGTTCTTATACATGACTATAGTGAATATCCTATATGGTACACTTATTTTTATGTATAGTATAAGTATTTCTATTCAGTAAATTTCTGTAAGTATAATTGCTGGTCCAAGGATTGCTTTATAAATCTTATTGAATATTAGCAGATTGCTTTCTGAAAAGCTTTTTACCAGTTAATATCTCTACCCACATAATAATAAAGGTATATCTTTATCTCCTTTGTTGCACCTTATCAACCCAGGATGTTATCAGTCCTTTAAATTTTTACCAAGCTCTGGTTTATAAATGTTATCTTATTGTTTTTAAAGTTGTTTATTTCTACCTTCTTCCCTTACCTTGTCATATTCATCTGTTTTCTTGATATTTTAAATAAGCTTTTGCTTTATATAGAAAAAGTCTATTTTGCTGTAATTATTATCTTCTATTTTTTAATCATTGGATTTACTTAATTTATACTTCTAGGTTGTTAGATTTGTATGAGTAGTTTTTTTAAATGTAGTTTTAATCTGTTTTATTTTCTAGGCAATATATTAAGCCTACGAAGTTTCGTTATTGGTCAGTCTTGTAATAATGTGTTTAATGGTTTTTAAATTTTTATTTCTAAGACCTTTACACTGAAATGGGCTGTGATTTATGAAAATGTTATGGAGTTACAGTTATTTTAAGCTGCCCCAAATCTTTTTTGAAAGTGGATATGTTATAAATAAATATTATTATTAAAAATTGTTTATGGCAAAAGAGAATATAAACTTCCTTCTTGTTCATTTGAAATATTAGTAGCTTTTCTTATTAGGAGTTAGTTGCTTGTTTCTAAGCTATGTGTCTTATCTCAGTTTATATATTCTCATTTTATCGTTAGTAATACAGTATATTCACTGATGAAATTTGAACCCCTGTGTCATATTTTATAATGTAATTTGGGAAGGATAAAATGATTTAATATATTAGTGGACTATAGTGACTGCAGTGGGATTATTTCTTTGAAGTTACTTTAACTTTTAAAAATGCATATATTAGGCAAAAGGCAGCATTTTGTTCACTAGGACAGACGTTGAGAGGCTTAAGCTTATTAATATTTTAGTTAGTACTCAATTGGGATTTTTCATTGCTTACTTTGAATAATACTTTTCTATTGTGAACATGTGAAAATCATTTTTAAAAAGCTATTTTTAAGACATGTTTTAATTGATGATGGAATATCTGTTTTGGAAAATTCATATTTCTGTTTGAGTAATATTAAATTCAACATTCCATAGAGTTTCAGTGATTAATAAAAATTCAGAAAGCACATTAATCATATAGCAATGAGATACATTTCTCAAATTTATCACTATAACCTTACTTAGGATGGAACCAATTTTATATTTAATGAAAGCTTTTAGGGTTTTTAGCAGTCAGCGTAACATTAAACTACCTGCTAGGTTTCTCTCATGCTGAATTTGCTCTTGTGTTGGTGACAGCAGTATGGCAACAGTAGACTCTTGAAATAGAGAGAGACTAGGATTATTAATATTCACATCACATTGAACTGAAAGCAAGTTGACCTGGAACAGAAACATGATTGACTTATTTTGTAGCAGGAAATTTAGACTGTTAATAAACTAAAACACATAAAGAAAGCTGTCTAGACCTTTCAGTTTATATTATTAGCTATTCCATTGTTTTTTCTTCAAGAGATCAAAAGTTTTTATTTCAGTTACCTATTTCAGACAATTATAGGATAAATTGTATATTTTGTTCCCTAAAACTTATGTTTATAATAAAACAATTTTTATATCTAAGTACCTTTATGTATTGTTTCTTCATTTACTTTATAATTTAGAATAGGTACAAAATAATGGAAGTTGTTGGAGTATTCATTTTCAACTATATAGGGTGAGTATACAGAAAATGGTTGGAGCTGGGTGCGGTGGTTCACACCTGTAATCCCAGCACTTTGGGAGTCAAGGCAGGCGGATCACCTGAGGTCAGGATTTGAGATCAGTCTGACCAACATGGTGAAACGCCATCTCTACTGAAAATACAAAAATTAGCTGGGCATGGTGGGGTGTGCCTGTAATCCCACCTACTCTGGAGACTGAGGCACGAGAATTGCTTGAACCCAGGAGGTGGAGGTTGCAGTGAGCTGAGATCACGCCACTGCATTCCAGATTGGGTGACAGAGCAAGATTCCATCTCAAAAAAAAAAAAAAAAATAATAATAATAAAAGAAAGAAAATGGTTGGAAGGAAGGATTGGGAGCATGTGCAGTAGTCATCTCTTATCTATGGGGGATACAATCCAAGACACCCCGCATGGGTGCCTAGGACTGTAGATAGTACCAAACCCTATAGGAAAAAACATAATATATGTAGGCTTTGGTATTATCCTATACATATCTATATCTACAGATATATATCAGTGATAAAGTTTAATTTATAAATTAGGCACAGTAAGAGATTAACAATAATAACTAATAGTAAAATAGAACAATTGTAACAATAGTGAAATAGAGCAATTGTAACAATTGTAAAATAGAACAATTGTAACAATATATAGTGATGAAAATTATATGATGTGGTACCTCTCTCTCTCTCTCTCTCTCTCTCGAACTATCTTATTGTACTCTACTCACCCTTCTTGTGATCTGTTGATCTGATAACTGAGATGGCTACTAAGTGATTAACGGACAGGTAGCATATATGGCATGGATCTGCTGGACAAAGGGACAATTGATGACCCAGACAGGATGGAGCCAGACAGCACATGATCTCATCATGTTACTCAGAATGGCTTGCAATTTAATATCTATGAGTTCTTTGTTTTTGGGGTTTTCCATTTAATATTTTCAGACCACTGTTGACTGTAGGTAACTGAATCCACAGGAATTAGAATACTATATTCTTACTGTTTCCCTTACTTCTTGGAATTAATATCTTAGATTTGAAATGGCATAGAAAAATGGTGGAATATGAGGAGAAATTGTTTTCATGCAAACTTCTTGAAAGTTAGTGTCTGTGCCGCTCACCTTGCCTCCATTTCCATATGAATTTGTTTGTTGATGGAGTAAAATTCAGATATATATTATGTTTTAAAGTATAATATTACTAACCTCACATGATTGTATTTAGTGTGCAAATAATTTAATTTGGATTCTGCTATTTTTTCTGCGAAGATTAGTTTTTCTTATATGAAAAAGTGGAAGTTCTGTGGTTGGATGTTTAGAAATTTTATAACTTGTGGCTACTAAAGTGAATCTTAATAAGTGACACAATTTTCTTCTGCTTAAATAACTTTGAAACTCCTAGAATTGTATCTAATCCTTTGAGTTTTCTGAAAATACAGTTGAATGTGCATAAAATTATTCATGAAAATGAGTGATTTAGTCTCAAGCAGTATGTGAATGCCCAAGTTCAATGTTATATAAACTGCTTTGAGCTTAAAGCATGACTTCTCTTCACAAGGTAACATTTCTTTTATACTTTTCATTGAACATATTTGAAAGCAATAAATATAGTAGAGTAGAAGTAAAAGGAATGAATTACTTAGATTTTTTACTGCTTCCTTAGTCTCTTTGAGGATCATGGGGTTTATGGAATGTTTTGGAAGTAAATTTGATATGACTATTATATAGTATATCAGTTTACTGTATATCAGGTAGTTATTTTACTGATCACCTTTTGTTAAGTGCCTTACATATACTGCCATTTAATGCTTACAACAATTCTGTTATACAGAGGAATAAACTAAGATTTACAGCTAATAATCTTTAACTTAGATCTAGAGGATAAAAGAAGACATTTATGCAGCCAACAGACACATGAAAAAATGCTCATCATCACTGGCCATGAGAGAAATGCAAATCAAAACCACAATGAGATACCATCTCACACCAGTTAGAATGGCGATCATTAAAAAGTCAGGAAACAACAGGTGCTGGAGAGGATGTGGAGAAATAGGAATGCTTTTACACTGTTGGTGGGACTGTAAACTGGTTCAACCATTGTGGAAGTCAGTGTGGCAATTCCTCAAGGATCTAGAACTAGAAATACCATTTGACCCAGCCATCCCATTACTGGGTATATACCCAAAGAATTATAAATCATGCTGCTGTAAAGACACATGCACACATATGTTTATTGCGGCACTACTCACAATAGCAAAGACTTGGAACCAACCCAAATGTCCATCAGTGATAGACTGGATTAAGCAAATGTGGCACATATACACCATGGAATACTATGCAGCCATAAAAAATGATGAGTTCATGTCCTTTGTAGGGACATGGATGAAGCTGGAAACCATCATTCTGAGCAAACTATCGCAGGGACAAAAAACCAAACACTGCGTGTTCTCACTCATAGGTGGGAATTGAACAATGAGAACACTTGGACACAAGAAGGGGAACATCACACACCAGGGCCTGTCGTGGGGTGGGGGGATGGGGGAGGGATAGCATCAGGAGATATACCTAATGTAAATGACGAGTTAATGGGTGCAGCATACCAACATGGCACATGTATACATATGTAGCAAACCTGCACGTTGTGCAGATGTACCCTAGAACTTAAAGTATAATTAAATAAATAAATAAATAAATAAAAAAGAAATTCTAGTGCATCCTGCTTGATGCTGAAGTTATCTTGCTGATAAGATGCAGTTGAAACAAACCACTATGCCTGGAAATGTGGACTTGATCTCAACTATAAGATTCACTTTAAGATGTCCTAATGTCATATTAATCCTGATCTAGTAGTTTCACTCTAATTATAATTATTTACTAGAGTGTATGGGATTTAATGTATGGGAGGTGTGGTTGACTTAAACCATCTAATGGCCTACTGTCATTTATTAATTTTTCTTCATTAGGTAGTTATTCATTTAGAGAGTTATTCACTTGAGATTTTGCTTGTTATATATCCCCTTGATATTAAAATATTTTTAAACAAAACTCAAGTATATTGAAATAAATTGTCATTGAATTAAAGTGACCAAATTTCTTGATCTGATAAAGCAAAAATAGATGAAGGATTTTAAAGATACCAAAATATTTGCTCAATTTTGGATTTTGACAGTTTTTTTAAAAAAAAAACTATTCAGAAAGCCTTAATTTATTCATTTTTTTCTCCCTTCCCTTCCCTCCCCTCCCCTTTTCTTTTCTTTTTCTTTTCTCTTCTCTTCTCTTTCTTTTCTTTTCTTTTCTTCTTTCTTTTTTTGATAGAGTCTTGCTCTATTGCCCAGGCTGGAGTGCAGTAGTGCGATCTCGGCTCACTGCAACCTCTGCCTCCTGAGCTAAAGCCATCCTCCCACCTCAGCCTCCCAAATACTGGGACTACAGGCACACACCACCATGGGCGGCTACTTTTTGTACTTTTTGTAGAGATGGAATTTCACCATTTTTCCCAGGCTGGCCTCAAACTCGTGAGCTCAAGTCATCTGCCCGCCTCTCCCTCCCAGGATGTTGGGATTACAGGCATAAGCCATGGCACCCAGCCCCTTAATTTTTTTATTCTTAATTTTAATTCAGTTTAACTGGAAATAATGCAGCCATGCACTTGTGCGCATGTTCTTTTTCTCTTTTTCTGTAAATTGTGTTTTTAGTATTATTCTTGAATCATTATTGTTCTGCTTTATAATGTTATTGTTAAATACTTATGGCTGAAGGGATTTATTGGTACAGGTAGGCAACCAGATATAGGGCCAAAAGAGCTTTCTTTGCCATTTCCAGCTTAGAAAATTAAGGAAGAAGATCCTGGTTGGCCTGTCTGAGGTCACATGGAAACCCTTGTATCAATGTCTATGGAGTGCTGCGATGTGATTGAGCAACACCGTAATTATATGCTCATTCTTAAGGTCAGGATATCTTCTGTAACCAGATAACAGGAGAAGGGTAACCACCATTACCCACTTATTGTCTACATATTATGTGCCTATTTTTTGACAACATTTTGGAGTTTTGGGCTCAGTAATAATTAGCAATTAGTTTACTGACTCCAGTGGATAATCTGAGGACCATAGACTGACAGGGGCTTTGCTTCTGTTCTTGAACCTAGAGACTACATTGTTCTTCCTCAGTACAAGTGAAGAAATGGCTAAAATAAATGTAGTAGTACTGTGTGTACATTTGTTTGTGTGTGTGTGTATATATATATATACACACACATATATATATATCTGTGTGTGTCACAGATATATATATCTGTCATAAAGAATTAACTAGGCCAGGCATGGTGACTCATACATGTAATCTCAGCACTTTGCATGGTCAAGGTGGAAGGATCACTTGAGTCCAGGAGTTTGAGGCTGTAGTAAGCTATGATCACACTACTGCACCCCAGCCTGGGCAACAGAGTGAGACCATGTCTGTAAAAACAAACATCAAAACAAATGAAAAGAATTTGCTATATCATTAAATTATAAGTATTGAACAATATCATTAAATGATAACGTTTTTGAATTAATACATTTATTGTCTTATTTATCTTTATCGATAATTATGTATTTCTTTACCTTAAACTATATGTTATTATAATCATTTTAAAGATTCATTAATTTATAAAATATTCATCTTACTAGCTTCTCCAGCTCATCATTATTTAACTACAAATCTGAATTTTAACCTAATACCTAAGAATACTACGCTACACATCTTCCCAAAAGACACACCTTGCTTTTTATAGTATTTTAATTCTCATGGTAGTTGTTTCATATACATATTAGTTGGTTGTAACTGTTTTTGGGGGTTTTTCAGCCACACTTGAACAATGGCCAATTGCTTAGATCTGTTATGTTTTGAGGGATTTAAAATTTATTTATGTAGGCTGGGCGTGGTGGCTCATGCCTGTAATCCCAACACTTTGGGAGGCTGAGGCGGGCGGAAGACCTGAGGTCAGGAGTTGGAGACCAACCTGGTCAACATGGCGAAACCCCGTCTCTACTAAAAATACAAAAATTAGCCAGGTGTGGTGGCGGGCACCTATAATCCCAACTACTGGGAGGCTGAGGCGGGAGAATCACTTGAACCTGGGAGGTGGAGGTTGCAGTGATCTGAGATTGCGCCACTGCACTCCAGCCTGGGCGACAGTGAGAGACTCCGTCTCAAAAATAAATAAATAAATAAATAAAATAAAATTTATCTATGTAATATTCATTGGCTATGTTATAGTTGTGAATGTGTTTTTTTAAAGTAGGGTTTATTTTTTAGAGCAGTTGTAGGTTCATGGCAAAATTAAGCAGAAAGTATAGAGATTTCCCATACATTCCTTGCCTCCACATACTGTACAGCCTCTTTCACTATCAAAATCCTGCACCAGAGTGGTACACTTGTTAAAACTGTTCAACTTACATTGACACATCCTAATCACCTGAAGTTCATAGTTTACATTAAAGTTCACTCTTGGTATTGTACCTTATATGGATTTTGAGAAATTTAAATGACATGTGTTCACCATTCTAGTATCTTACAGAGTAGTTTCACTGCTCTTAAAATATTCTCTGCCTTATCATTCCTGCTCACTTAACCCCTGGCAAACGCTGATCCTTTTACTGCCTATAGTTTTGCCTGTTCCAAATTATATTCTAATTATATTTGTCATATAATTGGAATCATACAGTATGTCAGTATGTAGCCTTTGTAGATTGTCTTCTTTCACTTACTATTGTACGTTTAAGGTTCTTTCATGTTTTTTTCATGGTGTAATATCTCATTTCTTTTTAATGTTGATTAAAATTCCTTTATCTGGAGGACCACAGTTTATCCATTCGGCATCTACTGAAGGAAATCTTGGTTGCTTCCAAGTTTTGACAGTTATGAATAAAGCAGCTGTAAACATCCATATGCAGGTTTTTGTGTAGACATAACATTTCAACACATTTAGGTAAATACCAAGGAAGGCAATTTCTGGATCATATGGTAAGAATATGTTTTGTTTTGTAAGAAACCGCTAACCTGCCTTCCAAAGTGGCTGTACCCTTTTGCATTCCTGCCAGCAATTAATGAGGGTTTCTGTTGCTCAACATCCTTACCATTATTTGGTGCTGTCAGTGTTTTGGATTTTGGCCTTTCTCATAGGTGTATAGTAGTGACTTATTTTAATTTGCCTTTTTCTGATGACATATGATGTGGAACTTTTTTTTACATGGTCACATGTTTGTTTTTGTTAATTCACTTAATCAAGAAATAGTTATTGAGTACTACACACACACACACATGCACATCCCCAATATATACTTTTATAAAAGAAATTTTACGTATGTAGGTGTGATTTTCTTGTAGGCAAGGAAATAACTTGCTTGTAGTACTTACAGGAAGGTCTTTTCATTGTATGTATGTTTTGTATAAATTGTGACTTAATCTCATATTTATCCCAACCTGTAGGTTTATAATTACACATACATATAATACTAGATGTAAAGTATTACAATATGGGAAAAGCTATATAAATTATCTGTTAAAACTTGGTAGGAAGGTTTGTGCTTAATAGATGGCTTCTTTTTGTTAATAAACATTTAGTGGGTTTTTTAAAAAACGCAAATGATACAAGCTTATTTTTAGAAAATTTGCAAAATACACATAAGAATAAAGAAAACAAAAAGGACCTATAATCTTAAAATTAAATCACTGATTAAAATTTTGCTATTTTAATGTGTTTTTGCAGATGTTTATCCATATATGTATGTTTTTATAAACATCTTCCTCCTCCTTCTACAAAATGGATTATGCTGTATATATTTTGTTTTGATTATTATTTATGATAGACTTTTGGATATTGTTATATAAGGTTTCCCTCTGTTATAAACAATCTTTCAATGACTGTCCTTATTTCTTATTAGGAGCACATACGTGATCCCTTTGCTTAAATTTCTAGAAGTGAAATTTCTTTATATAAGGACATGTAGAGTGTTAAGGAACACATAAAATGCCCTCCAAAAAAGACAGAGTCAATTTCATTCTCAACAGCAATCTATTCGAGTTTTAAATCTCTGAACCTTATTTATACCAGGTATTTTATAAAGTACTTGGCCTTACAATTCTTATTTTAACATATGCCACTTAATTTTTTAAATTACAAGTTATTCATGCTCTTTGTAATAGCCAAATAATGTATACATATAAATAAAGAAAAAAAAGTCTCCTTTTCAGTCTCTCCCCAACTTGTTACCCCCTTTTAGACCTTATATAACAGGTGTTAAAAATTTGGTTTTATTCTTCACAAATTTATTTGTGCTCATATAGTTATACAAAGTGTGTGTTCAAATTTTATCATGTATGGCTTTTTGTATTCAATTTTTTAAAAATTTAGCTCCAATTTTATTTTAATGTGGGTAATTTCCTTCGGTTTTTCTTTCATTTTACTTATATTTTACAAATTTTTCTTCATCTGGGTCTAATTTAAACAATTATAAAGTTCTCTCCCCCTCCTTCATCTGCCTTTTTCAGAAGCGCTGTATACTTCTGGGATGTTTAGTCCCTTCTTACATTCTTGAGTATTTAATGATACTTGTATTAGAGTCTCTTTCAGATTGTTCTATTATCTGAAATTCTTAACATTTTAGTCTTCTTTTCTGATGTGTCTAATGACCCTTGCTTATAGTGGATTGTTTTCTCCTGCTGATAATTTTGGACCGTGAACCCATCTTCAGTGATACTTTATCTTTTGGAGTTCTTTGAGAACAGGGTTAGGGGAGTAGTTCTCTAAAGCAAGCTTGCCTCGACTCTTACCAGGTAACCTAGTGACATCATGATTAGTTCTGTTGTTTAGGGACTCCCTGTCAGTCCATTGTTAAAATTTATGCCTTAAGTCTGTGCTCGGCACAAGTATGATGTTTAATTTTTTCAGAGGACGCTTTTCTTTTCCCCAGATTCCAGGTATATTTGTTGCTTCTTGTGAGCATGGGCACTTTTTTCTGGTTCATATTTTTGCTGATAATGTAATTCTTTAAGGGCCCAAGTTTTAGAAAGAAAGAAATCTCATTGTTAATATTTCTCCTTATGTTGGCTCTGGTAGGTTGTGCCCTAGGTTACCATGACTGTTTTCCTCTAAGGCAGCCATAGCTGGTTTTAATGCCACTCTGGTTTTCAATTCCCTCTTTTTTTCTGATGCTTGAGGACCTTTTATCCAAGATTTTAGGTATTTGTAGCTGGAATGTTTTGAAAATTAGTCTTTCATCTTCCATTTTGCTAGAACTGAGTCACCAATTGCTGATTTTCTATCTTAATTTCCTGCAAGTTGGTAATTGTGTTCCATAGACAAAAAGATTAATAATGATTAAATAAAATGTAGGATCTGTTTTATTCATTATTAGTACTAATAAAATGATAATAACTAATGTTTATTGGGCTTTTAGAGTGTCCTAGGTACCATGCTAAGTGCTTCAGATACATTATCTAATCTAATTATTAAAATAATGCAGTGAGGTAGATAGTATTTAATATTATTGTCCCCTGTTACAGAGAAGGAAACTGAGGTCAAGAGAGATGATGTAATTTGTTTCTGGCTAAGGTCACCTGGCTAGTAAAATAGGAGGGATGGAATTTATATCCAGTTTCTTGATTCTGGACCTGTGTGGGTTCTTTTTTCTTTTTTTTGACACGGAGTTTCACTCTTGCTGCCAAGGCTGGAGTATGCAATGGGGAGATCTTGGCTCACTGCAATCTCCGCCTCCAGAGTTGAAGTGATTCTCCTGCCTCGGCCTCCTGAGTAGCTGGAACTATAGGCGCATGCCATCACACCCAGCTAATTTTTGTATTTTTAGTAGAGACAGATTTTCACCATGTTGGCCAGGCTGGTCTCGAACTCCTGACCTCAGGTGATCCGCCTGCCTTGGCCTCCCAAATTGCTGGGATTACAGGCATGAGCCACCATGCCTGGCCCTGTGTGGGTTCTTAATGCCCATGTAATGAGACTGTTCTTATAAGAAATACTTGTTATCCACCTGCCTATTGTAGGCAATAGGGTTGCAGTGGAGAACAAGGCCTACCCAGTCTCATGGAGAGTAGAGTTAGTATACTGTGTGGATTAAAAACATTCTTCCCATAAATGGAAACAAGTTCGTTTATTTCCACAACATTTAAAAGATGAAAACATCAAATCTTATTTTGCATAGGTACCCTGTATTTAAGAGTGGTGTTTTTGATACATCATGTTACAATTATATCTTATCCATTTCCATACTATATGTCTGACACAGTATTGTTTTACCAGAAAGATGTTTTATTATATTTTAATAAAGACATAATTTTATTTACTCAATTTTGTATGCCATATATAAACTTGTGGCTCTTATTTAATTTAATATGTTCTTAAAAATTGAACCAGTTCTTACTTATGGAAAATAATTAGTTTTCAGTTCTTTGTAAATATATTATTTAATTTCAAAGAGTTGAAGTCAAAGAGTATGATCCTCCTAAGACTACCGGCAGTGGAATGTATGCGGCGTATTATTGAATTCACTTCCTACATTCTTCGACTTTGTTTCTTCCTTCTTTCTTTTTATTTTGTCTTTTAGATTGCTCCTGAAAGTCTGAATCTTAATTTCTACCTTATTTTTCTATCTTCCCTTCTTTTTTTCCTCCTTCCTTTACTGAGAAATTTCTGAGCATAATCTGTGTTGTAGTTTTCTGATAAAGTAGATACGACCTTCTCCTTTGATAACTCTCATTCTATGTGATTGGTGTCTTTTTGATACCTATTTATTGACAGCCTGTTTTTGGTTCTGCTTTCGTTTTACCTGTGAAGTACTGGGTTATCTGATAGTTTTTTCTGTATTATCTAACCTCAATTAGTTACTCATGTTTTAACTTTCTAAGTGATAACACATTGAAGGAATTATTTGTTGTTTGGACTTATTTGGTATAACTTTTCTTCTTGTGTGGAAAATGAAGAGTTCACTACAGTTTCCTGTTTGATTTAGGAAATTAATCTATCTAGTAAGGAGAAAATAGTTGTCATAATTGCATGTAGTCACCCATATGTTTAAACCTACACAGTGACAAACTGAAGATTGCTAATGCATGGAGTGGATTTGGTGGATGATGACTAATCAAATTTCACAACTATATTAATGTTTCACCTGGCTAAGTTAGTTTTGTTTTGTTTTTTAATGACATGGGCCCACTGCATAATTGTTAGTGCTTTCTCCAAAAATGTGATCACTTACTTACTCTGACCCCACCCCTGACTTGAAGTGTCTCTAAGATGTAGAAAGCAATCTGAATAGTAATTTCTTACATCGATAAAAAAGTAGGTCATATGAAGACAGAATAGAGATTTTTGTGTGCCAAATTTTAACGACTATGCTTTTCCAAAGACACAAATTTTTAAAAGGCAAGATAATATCTGTTATTCTTTGCAGGCTGATCAGTTGATGTTCGCTTTGCATTTTGTTCGAGGCATGCATCCTGAACTTTTTCAAGAAAATGTAAGTCAAATTAAAGGAGAGAAATTTTACAGTAACATAGAAATTTGTTAATGGGTGGATTTATGTTTAGATTAGAAATTATTTAGGCTAGAAATTATATATCAACCTATTAATCTTTTACTAAGTTAGAAATGTAGTATAAAATGGTGATTCCTAGTTCTACTTCCCTGTGGATGAGCCTAACATTCCAGAGTGATGGTAAAGCAGGGAAAGAAATCTACAAAGCTGCCTACATTTTTCTGAACCCAAGTTCACTTACTTAGGGCAACAGAAGAGTCAGCCTTCTTCTTTTCCCGGCCTAGGTAGTAGAGCTCATATAGAAAAAGTGAGACAATATTGGTACAAAACTACATTATTTATTGCTTCCACTGAACTGTCAAGAGGCAGCAGGTGAGGCATGAAGATGGGCAGTTCTCAGAAGTTTTCCTGAACCTACAGGTTTATGTTAATTTTTTTATGTATAATTTGTCTTCCTTGTTTATGATCTCATTTCTAGTCTGCCATGTAACCCCTTCTCAAACTTTAAAAGGACCTCCCTTGAGCTGGAGCTAACGAGACCATTTCTTGTCTGCTTACAATTTTAAAAAAAAAGCTATTTGCAAGTAATTTTTCTCATTATGATGCTGTTATCATAAAGTGAGATTCCAGTAGCCAGGGTGTCAAGGGATGGTATATGGACAGTGCAACTTTGACTTACTTTACTCTACTTAGTCAAATTTTAACTATTTTCTGGTTCCTTTCATTTGAATATAATAGTTAAAATAATGCAGACCATTCACAGTTCATATGTTCTCCCTTTGTTTTTCTCTGACTCCACATGCACTGACATGTATAGTTTCTGCTGAATTTATTAATTTGGTCCAGTTTATTCCTGCTGTTAACTTTGATTTCTTTTCCTCCTCTTATCTAATATTTTTCACTATGATCAGTATGTTCCATGAAATATATATATTCCTTATTTTTCTCTCCTAAAGTATAAACAAATTGTCATTGGGAAAGGAGAACACTTTTCTCTGACTCACATAATGTAGTAGTAATCATTCATATTTTACTTATTTGTGGCTGCATAATTGTAATAGGAAGAGTGTGTGGCCAGGGTGAGTGAAGCCAGAAAATATGTTGCTTTGGTAGTTTTTCCACATTGCTCTCAAATTTTCATATATTTTGCTTATTTACTGGCCCGTGTGTGACAGTAGTCACACAAATAGTACCTATTATTGTCTAACTTGGGGATGCCATGGGGAAGGTGTAGATTTTCTTGGCACTGGATTCTGCAACACTTGATTAATCTTAATTCTATGGCAAAAAAAAAAAAAAGATTAATGGCATCTTCTCCCAATCAGTGAGAAAAAAATGCGTTAATGGAATTACTTTTCTCAATATTTCCTACCAGATACCATTTTTAAGTTTTTGGGTGCACCTTACTTCTACTTATTAGCAACAAATAGCCTGTGGGAAAACAATTAACAGGTAGTGACAAATGTTAAGTGAACATGACATTTAAATTTTTAGACATTGAGACTCATATATATAATGGAGTTGTTTTGTTTTAATAAAATTATTCTTAGTAGATTTCATATTAATATTTTATGTTGTCACATTAATTCATTCTTGATAATGTTAACATACTAGAAGAAGTGGTAAGATGGAAATGAGTATCTGCTTAGAAAAATGCATTTTAAGCCATCTTATAAGGAAAGTTAGACAATTTTGTTAACTGGTTATCATTTTTATATTTTTGTGTTCCTATATTTTTATTCAATAGGAATGGGATACGTTTACAGGTGTGGTTGTTGGAGACATGTTACGGAAAGCTGTAAGTTAAAATAACAAAATCTATTTTGCTCTTAAAGAAAATATTTCTGGCTTTTTGTTCATGAGGTATAATTTGCTTCAGAGGTGTTCTAAATTATTGTTGAAGTTATAATTTGATTAGAAGAATATATTCTGGCCTCTTAAGTATTTCCTATAAAATAGACAAGTATATTTGTTTACTTTGAAGACATATATTCTGAGAATAATATGTCATACTAATGAATTAATGCAGTTTCTTTTTCTCAGTATATGTATTTTATTCCAAGGATATTTTATAATCTTTAAGAAAATCAAATCTTATAACTTGAAAATTTTTCTTATATACTTGGAGTTTTAAAATTACATTTTAGAACTTTTTAATAACTTCATTCAAATTTAGCTTTTTTTCCTACTAATTTCCTATTTGAATACATAATGAATAATAGTCTTCCAGCAGTACACCCAAAATATAACACGGAACATAGATCATGTCTGAAATGTAAGATATAATTTTAAAAAATGTAATTTTTATGACAGTTCCTCATGACATTTGAGTTTTTCTGAAGTTTCATGAAAGATTAAGCACAATGAAAAAATGATTGCAACATTTTCCTAAATGGTTCTCAGTCCCTTATGTTACATAGAATTTTACCATGGTGACTTGTAAAATACATAAAAATATAAAGAAATAATGCATAGAATGAATTTTTTTCAAAATAATAAAATAGCTAATCAATTGCTATTTTTTAAACTCTGAATTTTACCAAGTATACTAAGGAAAATAATTGCTTTTATTAAAGGACTCTCAACAAAAAATACGTGATCAGCTTCCGTCTTGGATAGATCAGGAACGAAGCTGGGCCGTGGCAACATTAAAGGTATTCCTTTTCTACTATGAGACATGTTTTAATTTCTTCTGTATTTGCATTGTTTCTGTTGATACTTTGTGCTCCTTATTCGTAATCAGTGTTAACATTTTTAATAGGATGTAAGTTCCCCCAGTAAAAAGTTACCAAAGAATTATTGTAATTAGTCCTTTAACCAGTAATTATTAAACCTTTCATTTATGAAATAGCATGCCTTCCAAATACAGTATTTTCTTTCTCTCCCTTCCCACCCCAGCCACCATGGTAAGTTAGGCTATGAGAATGGTGACATGGGGGAAGAAAAAGCAGTTTAGAAGCTTAACTCTCAACAATTCTGTGTTCTTCAACTACTCAGGCTAAAATGTTGTTTTTGTGGGGAATGAAAGACAAGTCTATGCATATGTTTCCATCCTTCCGTTCCTTCCCCTGCTTTTCTTCACAACTGTTGTATCATTATAACAGCACCTGATAAAAACAGTAAGAATAGCTAGCATTTACTGATGGCTTACTATGTTCAAGGCATTATACAGAATTTTAAAATGTATTATCTCACTAAATATTTTCAATAACATCATGAGGTAGCTATTGTAATTTTCCTTGTGTCACAGATGAGGAAATTAAGGCACATAGAGATATAGTAACTTGTTTATGGTCACTTAGGAAGTAGAGCCAGGATTTAAAACTATGTTTCTTGTTGCATAGTCTGGGCTTTTCACCACTACTCTTTACTGCCTTCATTTCATAAACATTGGTTGAGTAAAAGAAATGAAAAAAAGGGGGGGGAATTCTGCTATATATCCTCCATTTTTTTTTCATTAATCATTTATTTGGTGCTTACTACCAGTTGGCATAATGCTAGTGACAGTCTTTACTTGACCAAACTTTAGTCAGGCTCTTGAACCTTCTTCTAGGCCCACCTGTGCACTTCCTTGTAAAAGCTACTTTTAACAGAACCCTGCAAAGTTGGTTTAGTGAGAATTTCTTAATCTTCCATATCTGATTACCCTTGAAATCTAATCAGATTCCTCATTCCCCACCATTCCCCAGGTGATTCTGATGACTTCGGCCTGTCTTCAGCAAGAATCCCATTAGGTTGGTTTAGCCAGAAATCCCTGTACCCCTGATATTTCCTCTTAGTAATTTTCCATCCACTGACCTCACTTTGCTCCTTGGCTATAAATTTCCACTTGCCTATGCTATATTCAAAATTGAGCCCTGCTCTGTACTGAAGTCTCTTTTCGCCTATTGCTTCCTCTATTGTAATAGTCCTGAAAAAAAATCTGTTTTTAATGCTTTAACTACTGACAAGCTCTGGTTTTTTGTTCATACCAGTGGAATGACAGGTGTATTAAGAGACTCTGCCATGAACAAACTTACATTGTAGAGAGCATATCAAATAATTACCTTGTCATAATGGTTGACAGTATACAAGGTAGCCAAATACATGATGATAATATAATGTGTAGCACACCTACATTAGCAATGATGGGGCCTTGTATACTAAATGTCAATAAAGTTAACAGACCACCATCAAGCATTACTTTAATAGGCTTAGATCATTTATTAAAAAGTAATTAAATTGAAATGTAATTTATTTTCTGCTATTTAATTTAAGTTACATAATGAAATTTGGGCAATATAATGGATTATTTTTATATGAATATAAATGTTTGGATAATGCATTTTTTATATACTTGATTTATGTTCATATTATATGAAGTTCTATACTGAAGATATAGATCTTCTAAATTTCTCATTTGTTTTCAATGAAAATTCTTCACCTTTACAGATTTACATTTCTGATCTTACACCGCACTCTTGAAAAATTTGGGAAAAGAGAACACTGTTTGAGGTAGAGGGATTAATGTGTTTGGGAAAGCCTCTGAAAGATGATATTGTTTAAAGTGAATATTGAACGTGGAATAGAAATTTGTGAGGTAGCAAAGAGGGTTAGAACATTTAGAGACAAATAGAGGCATTTACAAATAGAGACATAAACAAATAGGGTTTAGAAAAACATTCTTTGTTTTTGGATTTGATACTGTTTTAGAAAAACAGAGCTTGACAGAGTTTAAAACTGAAGATAAGTTTTATTGCCATAGGGGAAAAGAGATGTCAGTATAGTACTGGGCTCAATTCTGAATATAGCATGGACAAGTGGGAATTTGTACCCAAGAAGCAGGGTAAGGATTAGTGCTGGGGGTCAGTGAATAGAAAACTATTAAGTGGAAATGTCAGTGGCAAGTGGGGATTCTGGCTAAACTGATTTAGCTGGTGAAGGCAGATCAAGATGATCAGACACCAACAGATAACAAGGGTGGGAGAGGAGGAATTTTTCTTTTTTTCTTTTCTTTTTTTTTTTTTTTTGAGACAGAGTCTCGCTCTGTTATCCAGGCTGGAGTGCAGTGGCGTGATCTCGGCTCACTGCAACTTCTGCCTCCCGAGTTCAAGTGATTCTCCTGCCTCAGCCTCCCGAGTAGCTGTGATCACAGGCGCCCACCACCAGCCTGACTAATTTTTTTTGTATTTTTAGTAGAGATAGGGTTTCACCATGTTGGCCAGGCTGGTGTCAAACTCCTGACCTCAGGTGATCTGCCCGCCTCAGCCTCCCAAAGTGCTGGGATTATAGGTGTGAGCCACTGTGCCCGGCTGAGAGGAGGAATTTGATTAGATATTCAAGGTAGGGATTCTTGCTAAAGTTACTTAGCAAAATTCTTATTAAAATAGGATACAAGGCAGGACACAAAGCCCCTGATTGAGGCCTAGTCAAAGAGAGCTCAGAGGAGCCTGACCGAAGTTTTGACAAAGAGAGTCTTTGTTAATATGAAATTTGACATACTTAACTTGACAATCCTTAAAATTTGCACTTGATCTTAATGACAGCACTTGTTTCCTTCACAAGGTGGAGATAGCTAGGTACAAATGTTTTTACATAGAGAAAAGATTAACTCATGAGTACTGATTTAGTACTACTTTGGAAGTGTATTTTAATTCTGGCTTTAATATTAGGTGAGTTTACCATAGAGTTGCCAACCTAGAAATAATTAGACAAGGCAACACAAAGTAGAAGAGTAATAAACATCAACCAATAATTGGTTCTCACTTTTAGTTTTTTTAAAAATAAATGTATGTGCTTATATTTGCTTATAGCTCACTGTATATGGCCATTTTTATTTTTTAGATTGCTCTCCCCAGTCTTTATCAGACCCTCTGCTTTGAAGATGCAGCTCTGTGGCGTACTTATTATAATAATTCAATGTGTGAGCAAGAGTTTCCATCTATCCTTGCAAAGAAAGTTTCCTTATTTCAGCAGGTAAAATTTAGTGTTATCTAAATGCAAAAAAGTGTTTAATGTTTCTCTTATTATTCAGAAGCCATTTAAAGGAAAGCTTTGCTTTTAGAGTGTTACTTTACCTTTAATGGCGTATTTGGGGAAGGGCTTGATCCTTTTGCCACCTTATTGACAATTAAATCACGCCAAAGTTTCTGGGTCTGGTTTCTCTCTCACTGTGGCTTTTTTTATTCCTTTTGTCTCAGACCCGAGGGGGATTTTGTAATAGGAAAAATGTATTTCAGAAAGAAACTAAGGTACAAATTGTACAAGTTTTACAATCATTTCCCAGAGTTATTTTTAAGGAAAAGACCTAATAGTGAGTAACAGGGGATTTTTCCCATTCTATTTTAAAATAGAATGTTGAAACCTACTGGCAGGTTCCGCTCAAACTTTTTTGCTAGTCAAAAAGCTTAGAGTGGGAGAGCTCTTCAGAAGTTGATGCTCCAGAAAATGACCTTTCCATTTATCTCTTCTCTGGATCTAACCCCTTTGTGTCTCCATATACAGTGAATTCTATTTCCCCAAAAGTGCTTAAACAAAAAGGAAAATGACTAAGAAAAAATTGATTTGAAAACTTAAACATCTAGGAATATCATAGATATGCATGAATCAGTAGTCCCAGCTACTTGGGAAGCTGAGGTGGAAGGATCACATGAGCTCAGGATTCGAGGCAGCAGTGAGATGTGATTGCACCACTGCACTCCAGCCTGGGTGACAGGGCAAGATGCTATTTCTATTTTTTTTTTAAACGTAAAAATAGTGATTTGAAAATTTTAGGGAGGATTTCTGGTTTCTGGGCCTCTGTTTGCTGTCAACAGAAATGCCTCATCTACGTACCATGATTTTCACCTGCCATTTAGCCTTTTATTAGATCCAGAAGATGTTTCTAACCCTGTTTACTTTTGATGATAGGCTTGAGGAAGTAAATGGATTTCAGTAATATTTTTGATATATACTTGCTATATACCTATTGTGACAGTTTAAAGCACAGTAAATAATATGGAACAATGATAAGTGTTCCCATATTTAGTAAACATTTGTTTAATTAGTTAACATTAATTATTGTTTAGTTAAAGTAGTTGCAGCAACTTTATTCTTTAAAAATATTCTGCATTTTATTTTAAGATTCTTGTAGTACAGGCGCTAAGACCGGACAGATTGCAAAGTGCCATGGCTCTTTTTGCATGTAAAACTCTGGGTAAGTGTGATGCTTTTCAAGAACTAGACCACTGACCTGAATTATTTGTTTTTAATTTACCTTTCATTTTATGTTAGCCTGAGTTTAGAAATGTTATAATGTCTCTTTTATTCATTCTGTTTATTTATCTTCCAATCTCTACCTGTTTTAGAAAAATAATTCTCGGCTGGGCATGGTGGCTCATTCTGTAACTGCCCAACAGGTTCAACTTGCCTGCTGCCTAGACAGAGCTGATTTAGCAAGACAGGAGAATTGCCATGGAGAAAGAGTAATTCACACAGAGCCGGCTGTGTGGGAGACCGGAGTTTTATTATTACTCAAATCAGTCTCCCTGAGCATTGGGGGTTACTATTTAAAGATGATTTGGTGGGTAGGGGCTTGGGAAGTGGGAAGTGCTGATTGGTCAGGTTGGAGATGGAATCATAGGGGTTTTCAAGCGAGGTTTTCTTGCTGTCTTCTGTTTCTAGGTGGGATCACAGAAATGGTTAGGTTTTACAGTAGTGGTGTTATCCCCAGGAGCCATTTGGAGATGTTCAGACTCTTGCAGCCACAGGCTGCATTACCCCTAAACCATAATTTCTGATTTTGTAGCTAATTTGTTAGTCTGCAAAGGCAGACTAGCCCCCAGGCAAGAAGGGGGTCTTTTTGAAAAAGGGCTGTTATGAATTTTGTTTCAGAGTCGAATCGAAACCACCTTTGCAAAAATTAAAACTGAGGTAATTATGACAGTGAAAGAGCTCAGGCCAAACTGACTCCATCTTGCTTCTAACCTATAAGCTATCCTTGTTCATTCTTGGGCACAGGCAGAACTAACCTTGGGAAGGAATTTAGTTTATGGTTTGACTCTGAAACAATATTGATAATAGCCCTTTCCCAAAAAGACCCACTTCTTGCCTGGGGATAAGTCTGCCTTTGTAGGACTAGTAGGTTCGCTATGAGATTAGAAATTATGGTTTAGGTACTGGGTGTGGTGGCTCATGCCTGTAATCCCAGCACTTTGGGAGGCCAAAACGGGCAGATCACTCGAGGTCAGGAGTTCAAGACCAACCTGCCCTACATGGTGAAACCCCGTCTCTACTAAAAAAAAAAAAAAAAAAAAAAAAAAGAAAAGAAAGTAAAAGAAAGATTAGCCAGGCATGGTGGCGAGTGCCTGTAATCCCAGCTCCTCGGGAGGCTGAGGCAGGAGAAATGCTGGAACCCAGGAGGCGGAGGTTGCAATGAGGAGATATCATACCGCTGCACTCCAGCCTGGGCAACAGAGCAAGACTCAATCTCAAAAAAAAAAAAAAAAGAAAGAAAATTATGGTTTAGGGGTCATGCAGCCTCGGGCTGCAAGAGTCTGAACGTCTTCAAATGGCTCCTGGGGATAACATCACTATTGTAAAACCTAAGATCAGTAGTTGAGATATTTTGCAGACCCTGCACTAGATGGATCAGCTGACACAACCTAGTCCGGTAATCTGGCTCAACCAATTCTGTGATCCCACCCAGGAATAGAAGACAGCAAGAAAACCTCACTTCACCCCCACTGTGATTCCATCTCCAATGTGACCAATCAGCACTCCCCACTTCCTAAGCCCCTACTCACCAAATCGTCTTTAAAAACTCTGATCCTGAATGCTCAGGGAGGCTGATTTAAGTAATAATAAAACCCCAGTCTCCTGCACAGCTGGCTCTGTCTTGGTAAATCAACTCTGTCTAGGCAATGGGCAAGGTGAACCCATTGGGCACTAAAAAACCATAAGCTAAATTCCTTCCCAAGGATAGTTCAGCCTACATGCAGGAATGAACAAGGTCAGCTTAAAGGCTAGAAGCAAGATGGAGTCGGTTAGGTCTGATCTCTTTCACTGTCATAATTTCCTCAGTTATAATATTTGCAAAGGTGGTTTCAGTACCTGTAATCCCAGCACATTTGGAGGCTGACGGGGGAGGATTGCTTGAGCCCAGTAGTTTGAGACCAGCCTGGGCAGCATAGTGAGACCTTGTCTTTAGTAAATATTAAAAAATGAGCCAGGCACGGTGGCATGTGCCTGTAGTTCCAGCTACTCAGGAGGCTGAAGTGGGAGGATTTCTTGAACTCAGGAGTTCAAGGTTGCAGTGAGCTGTGATTCTGTCACCACATCCCAGCGTGGACAGCAGAGCAAGACCTCATCTCAAAGAAAAAAAGAAAAATGATTCTCTTTGTTGGATATAACCCATATATAATGTTGAATTAAATTTGACATCCTATATTTAGTTACGATATTTGGACTGAGTGTTCCTCAATCCAATATGATTGGTGTCCTTACAAGAAGACATCCATGTAAAGACAGACACGCAAGGAGAGTATAATGTGATTATGAAGGCACAGATTCAAGTTGTGCAACTGCAAGCCAAGGAACACTGAAGATTTTTAGTCAACCACGAGAACCTAGGAAGAGATATGGATGTGTTCTTGTAAGGACACCAGTCATATTGGATTGAGGCACACTCTTGTCCAGTATGACCTCATTTGAAGTTAACTAATTCTATTTGCAATGGCCCTATTTTCAAAAAGGTGAACCTTTTGAGGGACAGGGGTTAGACTTCAACATATCTTTTTTTTTGGGTTGGGGGGAGACACAATTTAACCCATAACACCTACCAACCAAGCTTTTCACATAATGCCTATCTTCTGCCTCACCCATATGCACACAAATATTTTGAGTCACTTTTTAGACTGGTCACCTGGTTGGTTAATGATGAGTATATGGAAATAAGTCTGGATATGTTCTGTGCTTTTGCTTACTTATGCAGGGGGAGGAAATGTCACTATTTATTCACCTCTGATAGAATGTTTATGTACCAGATAACTTTTACTCATGTTTGGCAGAGTAATTATCCACCTTTCTTTTGGTTGCAGGTGACAGATACCCATATTAAACTCGCTTAAATGAATAAAGGGAATTTATTAGTTTAAGTATTCAGTACTCAGGAAAGAAGAGATAGGGCTGGCCTTTGGGTTAACTGGACTTAGACAACATCATGACTCAGACAATATCAGGAAACTCTGTCTTTGTCTCAATCTTGCAGTTTGTCTCTGTGTTTCTCTGCCCCCCTACTCCTATCTCTCTGTTTCTCCCTTTTTCTTTGTGTCTTTGTCTCTCTCTTCCTCTCTTGTTGCTTTTAGACTCTCATTTTAATTTCTGCATGTGTGTTGTCCTTAGTCTCAAGGGTTCATAATATTCTGGTTGATAAGACCACTAACTTGCTGAGTTATGTTTTAAAGCTTATGATGAAAGGAGAAAGATAACTTTTCCTTCCCAACTTCACCATCAAAAATCCTAGAGAAGGACTCTGATTTACTCAATTTAGGTTACATATCCACCTCTGCAACTAATCACATCAGAAATATGTGGAATTACATTTCTCCAAAAGCAGCCATGGATGGGGGAGTGGTTATTACCAGAAGTGAAGGAGGGGATGCTGGTACAAAATAATAGATATGCATGATAATCAGGCTACATATAACCTGTTTTAATGTTTATATTTATTGATAGTTTGATAGCTGACCTATTAATTTGTAAAGTGCAGCTGGGCGTGGTGGCTCATGCCTATAATTCCAGCACTTTGGGAGGCCAAGGTGGGCAGATCACCTGAGGTCGGGAGTTTGAGACCAGCCTGGACAACATGGTGAAACCCTGTCACTACTAAAAATACAAAAATTATCTGGGTGTGGTGGCAGGCACCTGTAATCCCAGCTACTCAGGAGGCTGAGGTGGGACAATTGCTTGACCCACAAGGCGAAGGGTTGCTGTGAGCTGAGATCGTGTCACTGCACTCCAGCCTGGGCTACAGAGCAAGCCTCCATCTCAATAAATAAATAAATAAATAAATAAATAATTTTTTAAAGTGCATTTTGGTAGTCTAACTCCTTTAAGAGTTATAAGTATACAACTTGATTCTGTAGCTGTTGGAGAAAATGTTCTGTAAATGTCTGTTATGTCTATTTGGTCTATAGTACAGATTAAGTCTAATGTTTCTTTGTTGATTTTCTATCTGGATGATCTGTCTAATGCTTATAGTGGAGTGTTGAAGTGCCCTGCTATTATTGTATTAGAGTCTATCTCTCTCTTTAGCTCTAATAATATTTACTTTATATCTGGATACTCCAGTGTTGGGTGTATAGATACTTAGAATTCTTAAATTCTGCTGAATTGACTTCTTTATCATTACACAATGACTTTGTTGGTCTCTTTCTATACTTTTTGTCTTGAAATCTCTTTTATCTGATATAATTATAGCTACTTCTTCTCTTTTTTGGTTTCCATTTGCATGGAATATCTTTTTCCATCTCTTCATTTTCAGTCTATATGAGTCTTTATATGTGAACTGAGTTTCTTGTAGGCAGCATAAAGTTGGGTCTTATTTTTAATCTATTCAACCACTGTTTCTCTTTTACTTGGAGAATTTAGTCCATTTATATTCAGAGTTATTATTGATAGGAAAGGACTCTGGCTATTTTAGGAAAAGACTAACTACGGCTATTTTGTTTTTTTGTTTTCTGGTTGTTTTGTTAGTGTCTTCTTCTTCTCTTTTTTTTTTTCCTTTCTTCCTGTCTTCCTTTGTGTATAAGTGATCTTCTCTGGTAGTATATTTTAACTTCTTGCTTTTTTTTATGTGTGTATGCATTATAAGTTTTTCCTTTGTGGTTACTATGAGGCTTGAAGAAAACATAACCAGTGGATTTTAAACTGATGACAACTTAACTCTGATTACAAAGAAAAGAAAAGAAAAACAAACCAAGCAAAAAGAAAAAATTTACACTTAAACTCAATTCCCTTTCCCCCATTTTGGGGATTTTTTTGGTCTCAATTTATATCTTTCTATATTGTCTATCTCTTAACAATTTATTGTAGTTAGTATTTTTGATAGGTATCTTTCAGACTTCATAATAAAGATATGAATGGTGATATACTTTGAATATACGTCCCTAGCAAATCTCATGTTGAATTGTAATCCCCAGTGTTGGAGGTGGGGCCTGGTGGGAGGTATTTGAGCCATGGGGGCAGATCCCTTGTGGCTTGGTGCTGTCCTCACAATAGTGAGTGAGTTCTCTCAAGACCTGGTTGTTTAAGCATGTGGCACCACCCTCCCTACTCTCTCTTGCTCCTCCTTTTGCCATGTAACATGCAAGCTGCTGTTCTCACCATGTGAGATGCCTGCTTCTCCTTTGCCTTCTGCCATCAGTAACAGCTCTCTTGAGGCCCCCACAGAAGCTTAGCATGTGCTGGTACCATGCTGGCAGAATCATGAGTCAATCAAATCTCTTGTCTTTTTAAATTAGCCCATCTCAGGTATTTCTTTATAGCGACACAGGAATGCCTAACACAAGTGACTTACACACCGCAATTACAGTGTTAGCATTTTATGTATTTGTCTGTATACTTACTTTTACCAGTGACTTTTATACCTTCAGATGATTTCTTGTTGCTTGAGAATCCTTTTCTTTTAAATTGAAGAATTCCCTTTATAGTTCTGGTGTTGGTGACATTTTTTAGCTTTTGTTTGCCTGGGAAAGTTTTTATTTCTTTTTTATGTTTGAAGAATGATGTTGCTGGATATAATATTCTAAGTTGGAAGCTTTTTTTTGCCTTTAGCACTCTGGATATGTCATCCCCCTCCCTCATGGCATGTGAGGGTTCCACTGAGAAATGTGCTGCCAGACATACGGAGCTTCTTTATATGTTATTTGCTTCTTTTGTCTTGCTGCTTTTAGAATCTTTTCTTTGTCCTTGGCCTTTAAGAGTGATTATTATATGCCATGAAGAAGTCTTATTTAGATAGAATCTGTTAGTGATTTTGGCTGTCTTGTACCTGGATATTCTTATCTTTCTCTATGCTAGGCAAGTTCTCTGTTATTATTTCTTTGAACAAACTTTATATCCTGATCTCTTTCTTTACATCTTCTTCAAGGCCAATAAGTTATAGATTTGTCCTTTTGAAGTTATTTTTTAGATCTTGTAGGCATACTTCATCCTTTTTATTCTTCTTTCTTTTTCTCCTCTATATTTTCATGTTTTCAAACTCACTAATTTATTCTTCTGCTTGATAAATTCTGTTATTGAGACACTGATGCATTTTTCAGTTTGTTAATTGTATTTTTCAGCTCTAGGAATTGATTGTTTTTATAAAATTATTTGAATCTCTTTATTAAATTTCTCTGATATAGGCCAGGCACAGTGGCTCACACCTGTAATCTCAGCACTTTGGGAGGCCGAGTTGGGCGGATCACTTGAGGTCAGGAATTCAACACCAGCCTGGCCAACATGGTGAAACCCCATCTGTACTAAAAACACAAAAATTAGCCAGGCATGGTGGCAGGCGCCTCTAATCCCAGCTACTTGGGAGGCTGAGGCAGGAGAATTGCTTGAATCTGGGAGAGGCAGAGGTTGCACTGAGCCGAGATTACACCACTGCACTCCAGCCTGGGCTAGTGAGAGTGTCTCAAAAAATTTTTTTCTCTGATATAATTCTGATTAATTCTCTGTGTTATCTTAAAGTTCATTGCATTTCCTCAAGACAGCTGTTTTGAATTTCTTGTCGGAGAGGTTACATATCTCTGTTACTTCAAGATTGGTGACTGGTACCTTATTTAGTTCATTTGCTGAGGTCATGTTTTCTTGGATGTTTCTGATGCTTGTGGACCTTCATCATTGTCTGGACATTGAAGAGCTAGATATTTATTCCAGTCTTCAGAGTCTGGACTTGTTTTTACCTATTCTTCTTGAGAGGGCTTTCTAGGAATCCAAAGGAGACTGAGTGTTTTTACCTAAGCCTGTTTTCACTAAAGCTGTTTTAGCACTATTGGGAACCCTAAGCCCAAGAACTCTATGACTCTTGCAGACTCCTAGAAACACAGCCTTGGTGGACCTTAGGAAGATAAGGGAGAATTCTCTGGGTTCCTAGACAAAATCTTTTGCTCTCTTTCCTCTCTTTTCCCCAAGCAAAAGGATTCTTTCTCTATGCTGGGTTTCCCAGAGTTTGGGGAGAGGCAATATGGGCTCTGCCTTGACCACCGCAGCTGGCACCATGCTGAGTCATACCTGAAGCCTCAAGCCTTCCACACCAGCACAGTACTGAGGCTTGCCCAAGGCCTGTGACCACTACTGCTTGGCTGTCACTGATGTTAATTCAAGGCCTGAGGCTACTTTAGTCAGCAGGTTATAAGCCAGCAGGTTGCCTTCTGGCCCAGAATGGATCTTGAAACATCAACTAAGGAGCAAAGGCCTGGAATCATAGGCTTCAGGAATCTTCCTGGTGCTTTATTTTCCTGTGACTGGTCTTGTGTCCAATTTGCAAGACATAATCCTCTGTACTCTTCTCTTGCCTTCCTCTAAAGAGAAGGAACGTGTCCATGTGCTGCATTGCCTGGAGTTGAGGGAGTGGTGATGCAAGTACTCTTGTGGGCTGCTGCAATTGGTGTTACACTGGGTCACACCCCAAGCCCACTGCTATGGACATCAGAATAGCACCAGGGCTTGCCCAAGGACTGCAGTCACTGTGTCCTGACTGCCACTCAGATTTATTTGGGCCCTCAGGCCATTTAATTAGCTAGTGGTGAAGATGACTGGGACTTGGTTTCCTCCTTCTGAAGCAGAGGACTTCCCTCTGGCCCCGGGCTGCTGTATATGCTCCTTCCATGGGCACTGGTAGAATTCTGTCTGGTAATGAGGAGGAAATTAAAGAAAGAAAAAGAAAAAGAAATAAGCTTTCCTGTATTAGGCTGACTTATCCTAGAAGCAGCAACAGGCACAGCCCAGACCCAGGAAAAGCCTCGATAAACAACTATCTGCGAAGCTAGGACACAAAGGAATGTTCTCTGGAGACTCTCCCAGCACTCCCTCAACTTAGGGAGGAGAAAAACAAATTTTTCTTTCTCTTATGGTATGAGTTTATAGATTGCTGTTCTCTGTAACTAATAACTTCAAGTATTCTGTTTTATCTAAGTGGTACAATGAAGGTCATGAGCCATCTGAGAAGGCCTGAGCTACAGCCACCTGGGCACCATAGTGAAGGTTATGAAATAAGCCTGTGCAAGACACTAGAGCAAAACCTAGATAACAACCATCTGTGCTGAATAGCAAGGGTCATGTGTAATTCTGAGTTATGCACCTGTCACAATTTGATTAACTGCCTTTGTTCTGCCTCTCTATCCTTGCTTTCACACCACTGTAATCCTGCTTCAAGTTAGCTCACTCCCTTTTTGAAGGGTGTATAAAGGTCAAGAGCTATCTTTGTTCCGGGCCCAGTCTCAGGATGTTAATCCACTGGGTCTGAGTGCCCTCGATAAAATCCTCCTGCTTTACTCCGAGGTCTCTCTGGTCCTCCTGATTCCTGCAACAGTATTGTGTTCCGCTCAGTGACAGGACCACACTGAGTTCCAATGCAAAGTCACACTCACTTTCCTCCCCTACGCACACAGATTCTCTCTGTGCTGTGCTGCCTGTGGTTGGGGTAGGAGTGGTATAGGCAATCCAAGACTGTTCTTCTCACTCTCTTCAATGCCTCTTTACTTGTGAGTCTATTGAAATCAGCTGCTGTGATCACTCACTAGATTTTTTGGTTTGTATGAAGGTATTTTCTTGCATGGATAGTTGTTCAATTTGATGTTCCTGAAGGGGACAATTGCTGGAGGATTCTATTTGGCCATCTTGCTCTGCCTCCTTCTTAACTGTTGAGTCTAAAGACTGAAGTAGTTGGAAAAAAAGATGCTGGTGTCCATGTTTGGAAATGCTTTTGAAAATACTTTATCTTGTTACTGGAACAATTAACATGTTCCCAAATTTGGATAAACATGGTGAGTAATAACTGTATAATACACATCTAAGAATATGGAGAACAGTTGTCCCTGTATTTAGCACTAAAATTAGTTGATTGAAGTAGGCTTTTACTAGCATTTTTGAGAAAATAGAAGCAATAGGACAAAAATTCTTCATTTCCCATCAACACATCTACCATTTGCCTTAGTACTCATACTCATTCTGCTTTCCTTTCTCTGACTGTGAATGAATGTCTTTGCTGTAATCAAAGCTCAACTCATTTGCTGTTTTCTTCTTCATTTCTGCCATTATCATCTTCTCCCACATCACGAATTTCACCTTCTTTTCTGGATCTTTTTTTTTTCAGCATACAAATATATTTTACTATCTTCTGTCTTAAAAATACCTCCCTTGGTCTGAGACCCTTTTCTAGCCACTATCCTATTTTTTACTTCTTTCTAAACTCAAAATTGTTCATTTCTTTCTAGAACACATTCTTCTCTTGATTGTTATGTTTCTTTTTTCATTCCCCAACCCTCTTAGGCTGTTCCTTTTTACTTTCCTTTACTGGCTTCTTGTCTGCATGTCTTCTAAGTGTTAGAGTACTTTTCTTTTTTACTATAGTTTTACCCTGGGTTTTATTCTTTCATTATTACACATTCTCTCTGTAGGTGACCTTACCCAATCCCTGGATTTAAATATCATTCTTAAATTACTGATGCTTATATCTCTTATTTCCAGCCCTGGAATTCTAAGCTTGTATATTTAATGCTTATTTGATGTTTTTATATTAAAAACATCAAAAATAAATGTCTCAAATTTAATGTGATCAGTACAGAACTTTTGATTTTTTTATACTAGCATCTACTCAGTTGTTTAATCCAAAACCCCAAAAGTACAGTCATGTGTTGTTAAACAGTTAACAGTTTAGCAGTGTTGTTTAACAAAAGTACAGTCATGTGTTGTTAAACAGTTGTTTAACAGTTTAACAGTGTTTAACAAAAGTACAGTCGTGTTGTTTAACAGTGGGGATGCATTCTAAGAAATGTGTCAGGCAGTTTCATTGTGTGAATATCATAGAGTGTACGTAAACCTTGATTGTACACCCTCAGACACACCTAGGCTATGTAGTATAACTTATTGCTCTTAGGCTACAAACCCGTGCAGCATGTTACTGTACTGAATGCTATAGGCAATTGTAACACAGTGGTAGGTATTTGTGTCTCTAAACATAGAAAAGATACAGTAAAAATACAGCATTATAATCTTATGGAACAACCATGGTATACATGGTCCATCGTTGATTGAAAAGTCATTATGCAGCTCATGTAATTCTTTCCTCTCTTTTCTTTCTTTCTATACTCAATCTACCATCAAATTCTTTTGGTTTCAACCCTAAAACTTACTCTGAATTCATTTTATTTGCTTTATTAGTACCAACCTAATACAAGCTATCATCAGCTCTCAATTACTGCCATACCTTTTATTTGTTGTCTCTATGTTTAGAGTATATCCAGAATCCAGTCACTTCTCAGACCTTTAGGACTTTCTACCACTTTGTTTAAGCCACTTTTATATAAGCGAGATTATTACCATTCAGGCTTCTATCCTTCCCCACTTTAAGTCTATCCTCAACATAGCTGCTAAGTGCCTTTTGAAATATAAATTAGATCATATCACTTCTCTGCTCCAAGTCTTCTGATGGAATGTGACATCTCATCTTCTTCAGAATCCTTATAATGTCCTACAAGGTCTTACCCTCAGATCTTATCTCCTAACCACTCTTGACCCTTGCTCAGTTCTTTACCAACGTAATAGTCTTTTTCTTGTTTTTTTTACTGCTCTAAGTATGTTTCTGGAATATCAGAACCTTTGCACTTGCTGTTCCTATTGCTCAAACGCATGTTAAAATAAAACAGGACACTTTTCAGAGAGGTTCTTAAGAGAGGTTTTTTTTTCCTACCCATTTAGTCTTTAATATACGTTTTTTGTGCCACATGGCACATAACCTTTCTTACTGATTTTATAGTTTAACTCCCCATCAACTCTTTGAAATACTTATGGTACTATTTCATCTCCAGGTCAAATGACATTCAAGGTTTAATGGCATTAATTAAAAACCTCATATTATTTATATATTCAGATGCTTTGAAAGTTTAATACACTTTTAAAATCATACTATTTCTAAGCAAAAATTATGTTTACTATTGTATGGCTGTATGACTTTGTATTTGGTCAGGTAGCTTTATTAAATTGTTTTAATGTAAAATTGGAGTTTTTATTTCAGGAATAAGTTTTAAAAATTCAAATTACCAGAGAACAACAGGCACTTCCCTCTTTTTAATCAAATTTTAGAGCTTTGATTTTAAATGTAATTTCTCAAGCATCATTCATATGGAAAGATCTTTATTAAGTTTTAGCAATTTTTTATAATCTGTAAACCTTAAAATAGTAAGTTAAAAAGATGTATTTATGAAAGTAGTCTTGATTTGAATATTTAAATTAGCATAGCAGTCCTCAAAGCTTTTAGGGATGCCTGTTTAATATGATTCTACAAAGCAAGACTTATGTGCTGGCAAAATCTACTACGTTACTTTTTAGAAATGGTAGTGACCAGATGCAAGTATTCTTACTTCTGTAATTCTGATATAATTTTGACTTAAAATGACTATCATGAGGAGTATATTATACTATGTGTATTGAGGTATTGGAAATGTAAAGAGACATGTCCCCATACGGTGCTACAATAACTACAGTAACCAGAAATTTTTAAACGTTCTTCATCCAAAAGTTATTTTTGAACTATGCATCTTTCCTAGTTTTACAGTTCTGTACCTCTTATGGCATCATCCCATCCCATGCACCCTGCTTTCATAGCTCAATCTGTCTTATCAAGTTTGTGTCTAAAAGAAAGAAAGACATAAGGATATGTGCATTCATTTTCTGTTGCTGCTAGAAATTTATCAGGTTTAAACAATGCCCAGTTATCATCTTCTGCAGGTCAGAAACCTGATGGGCTCACCAGGTTTCTTTGCTCCAAGTTTTGGAAGCCCTGGGGAAAATCCACTTCCAAACCCATTCAGGTTCAGCCCTATTCAGTTTTAGGAGTGAGGTCCCCATTTTCTTTCTGTCTTTTGGTGTCATTCTCAGCTTTTGGATGCCAGTTGGTATCTAGCCTTCCTCCATCCTTAAAGCCAACATTAGCAGATCGATTCCTTTGCATGCTTCATATCACTCCTGTTTCTCTTTTCTGCTACACTTCTTTGACTCTAACAAGAGAAACTGCTCCGCTTTCAAGGGGTCAATTGATTAGCTTGGCCCACCTGAATAACACAGGATAATCTTCTTACTTTTAGGTTCATGACCTTAGTTACATTTGCAAAGTCCCTTCACAGCAGTACTTAGTTTAGTTTTTGATTGAATAACCAGGGCTTAGGATTCTTGAAAGAGGTATCTTTAGAATTCTGCCTACCACAATATATTTGACATTTTTACTTGTTTCTAGGGTTCAGTACTATTCCATTTCTAAAGTGCAGTTTCCCATTTAATTGGTTCATATATATTGGGTTAGGTAGTGGCTGTTGATTTTCCTCTTTTTATTGATGTTTGTGGTACATTTTTACAATTGTTTTCTCATAAAAGAAAGGTAATTTTATACATCTGATACTTATCAGCTCTTTGTTATGGAGGATGAGAGGAATTAAAAAGAATGAATCTATTATACTTACTACGTATAATAGTTTTGATAATTTGCCACTTTCTTTACTCAGGTACCTGCAAAGTACGGGAGTCAATTTGTTCCTTTTTGAACTGCAAGTTGTTTCTTTTTTGTTATCTCAGTATTGTATTTGCATAAAATAAAAAACAATAAAGGTTTCAGTTATTCGTTTGTCTTATTCTTATTTTTTTGAAGGAAGTGCTGTATTTATTTTTTAAATTATGGTCAGAATATAAAGTTCCAGTGATTTCCAAATAGTTTTACATGATAATTCACAGTGCAATTATTATTTTTGGCTCTCTAACTATATTAAATAGTTTTGAATGATTCATATTGATGATTCTGATGGTATCATGAATCAGAATTATTTGGATTGATAAAACCAGTATACTCAGTTCACTTAAAGTGCAACAGAAATTTTGCTGGAGTTTTGTGGGCAGGATGGCTAACATATAATTCCAAGTAACATGAATGTCACCTGTGTTATATTAAATGGCAAGGTATTTTTCATGATTTTTTTCTCCAACTCAAAATGTTTTATTGCTTTGAAATATTGTGTAAAATGAATTAATGGACATATATTTATATCCTGTGGGATTTTAAAATTAAAAGTTATAATTGAATTTACTAGGCTCTGGATAATAAAGTAGTGAAAGATTCAGTATGATTCTTGCCCTCATGAAGTTTACAGTGTACATTGGTTAAATAAACAAGTGGTATGGTAATCTGCATTTTAGCTTTTTTAGACAGTTTTTGTACTGGCATGTATTTTCCAAATAAAATACACTTAAGTCAGTAAGTAGTTATTTTAAATGTAAATATTTTATATATATTTTGACATTTTTATTGTATAATACATGGTAATTACAGGAGTATCAGAAAATGCATAGACATGAAAAGAAAATGAGAAACACCTGGTATTCCATCATTAACACTAATCATTGTTAACGTTTCTATGTATGCCTTTGCTTTCTTTTTATGCACATAGAAGTGTATACATTACAATATGGAATTATTGCCAAATCTCTTGAATGGTCTGATTTTTCTGTAAATTATCTTTTACCTCAACATGTTTGTAACTTCAGTTTTAATGTATGGCTATCAGAAATTACTCAGACTCCTGTTAGAAACTCAGTTTCTTTCTACCAGTTTTTAGCTAATATCAACAGCTACAATGAAAAGCCCTTGTACATGCTTCTGCGTCCATATCCTGAATTGTTTCTTAAGTTATTCTAATTTTAATTACTGATCAAGGCCATGTACATTTTTAAGACTTTTGATACACTTTATTAAATCAGACAATATATTTAATTGGCCTAGATGTTTATTGAGTTAATGAATAAATAACTGAATGCTTGAATCAATGGAAATATTTCTTACTGCATTGCAAGTATGTAAGAATTCTTTATTGCTAAATTTAAATTGCTAACAATTGAATAGTTGTTAGCAATTTAAACTTAGTTAAAAAGAAAATTTATAAAATATGCCTCTAAAAGCAATTCATCAATTTTAAGTGGCTCTTGGAGTAAATTTCACCTGTTATTAGGAATATTTCTGCCTTTGGAAATTCTTAGCATTATGGGTAGTTGTTGTGAAGAACAGACAAGGGTGCTGCTTTAGGCGTGAAATGTACCTTTTCTGGTTGGCTATCTAGAATTGTCTCTTTTGACCCATCATGATAACACAGAGTTTATATTTTAAAGTGTTTATTATTCTTAATTCTTTAAGGATGTCCATATCTGAGGTGCAGTCTTGTCTATTCACTTCTATTTTTGAGAATATATGGAAGCCTTTCTTGCCCATGTACTCATTCAGTTACATTCTCCTAATTTTTCGTTTATTTTTAAACTCCTGTGTAACACTCATTTTAGCTCAATTCAAACAAGTATATTTTAAATTATTAATTGACATGAGCCTTTTCAGTTTGGCCTTTATGAAATATATTAATAATGGAAACTTTCAAGTTTTAGCAGAAGAGATTTAAATATAATAGCAAAATTATAATCTCTTATCTGAATAGGACTTTATAGTTTGTGAAGGGCTACAGAGCAGAAAAATCACAGATGAATTGTTTAAATATAGTTAATGGTGGCAGCTGGGTGCCCTTTGGCAAGATAATCAATTTCTTTGAGTATTAGTTTTCTTACCTATAAAATTAATATAGTGATATTTGTTTCTCAGGAGCATTGTATGGTTTATATATCATTTAAATAAACTACCCAGTATAATGCTTAGTATTCAGTAGGTGATGAATAAATAGAATTTGTTACAATTATTATACTTATTTTGCTTCCAGAGTACCTGTGGATTGCTTTATCCTTGTTTTGCAATTGAGGAAACTGAGGCACAGTGCATTTTAATGATTTGCATAGAGTCATTTGGCTAACAAATATAAACTGACAGCTATGTACTTCTGTCTTAAATGAAGCATTCTTTTCACTCTCCATACAACTTTTTTTCCCCATAACACATGGGCATAAGAAATAACTTTTTGGCCTATATCATGCCAGTGAAATCATTTACTCAGATCATGAGAAATCTGATTCCCCATATGCGTGACACAGAGTAGGCACTCAACTATCATATCAGTTAATGAATTGTATTGTACTAATGAGATATATAGATTGATGGTTGGGTTCAGTCTTCTCTTGCATTGTGGTCTCAATTTACAGTACAGCTACAGGCCTGTATTGTGGTCTCAATTTACAACACAGATGTTAAATGTGGTAATCAGGGTACCTACCTCATAGCATTGTAATAAGAAGATGATATCATACGTGGAAAACATTTAGAAAAATGCCCGGCACCTTAAGCATAAAACAGATGTTGGCTATTACTAGTATATTATTTTAGAGTAGAAAAACTTTAATGTATTATGAGATTACAACTCACCTGGGTATTCTCTATTATATATCATATAATTAGATTTAATAAACTTTTTAATAATGCATACTGCTTTTATTTTTAATTTTTAAAATATATATTTTAGGACTGAAAGAGGTGTCCCCACTGCCTCTAAATCTCAAACGTTTATACAAAGAGACACTGGAAATTGAACCCATCTTGATAATTATTTCTCCGGGTGCTGATCCTTCTCAGGAACTTCAAGAACTAGCTAATGCTGAAAGAAGCGGAGAGTGTTATCACCAGGTAAGTACATATTGTCCCGCTGTTTTTGTTTTTGCTATTGCTGTTCCCACACTTGATGATATTGGTCAAATGGACATTTTTTGTTGTGATAAGCCAAATAATGCCCCCAAAAATGTCTATGTCCTAATCCTCAGAACTGTGGATATGTTATTTTCCATGGCAAAAGGAACTTTGCTGATGTAATTGAGGATCTTCAGATGGGAAGAGTAGCCTGGATTAGCCAGGTGGACCCAATATAAAATCACAAAGGTTTTTTATAAGAGGGAGGCAGGTGAGTCGAGAGTGCAGCTAGGAGATATGATGATAGAAGTAGAGGTCAGAGAAGTGAGAAGGTGCTGTGCTACTGGCTTTGAAGATGGAGGAACGGGCCATAAGGAAAGAAATGTAGGTGGCTTTCAGAAACTGGAAAAAACAAGGGAAGAATTATCTTTTAGAGCCTTTAGAAAGAACATAGCCCTATAGTAGTACCTTTGTTTTCAAACTCAGACCCTTGATTTTAGACCAGTGAAACTTCTGGCCGCCAGAAGTCTGATGGTAATTTAAGGCACTAAATCTGTTGTAATTTCTTAAAGCAGTTATAGGAAATTCATACATTTGCTACCATTTTGAGAATTATTTTTAAAATTTTACTTGGATGCTTTTATAATAAATCACAGTAATGTTTATTTACACTTTATTTACCTGACCTGAAAGAAATCCAGAAAATCTTGAGTAAAATGTATTCATTGTAATGCCATTTTTTTTTTCCCTGAGGTAGGAACTTTTGTTTGTTCAGGGTGCCTTTTTTTCAATTTGCATGTAAATTTGAAAATGAAATGTATTAATTCACCCTCAATTTTTAAGAAGTGAATACATCTTTTTCACAGGGAAAATAGTTAATAATGATTTTTTAAACAACTGAATACTTCATAGCAACCAAAAATTGAAAAGTGAAAATTCTACAAAGAAAAATATAAATGAAAGATAGCAAAATAGCAGCGCTGTTAGGCTCAGGTGTGAAGGTTTTGCACTAAGTCTAGAGAGTTCTAGTCAATCATAGTTAGAGTAGATTAGTTTATACATTAGGTCAATATTCAGTTATCAGTGAGGGATCTTAGGAAGGGGAGCTCTACAGATTGTACCTGTTACTAGTGATTTTGGCAGGAAGGTTAAACTATTCATATAAGCTTTTAATTATTTAATGAAGATTAATTTCTGGTATTAGTTTGATTCTTCTTCCAAATTTATTATTAAAGCCAGTTAGGAAGGTTTAGGGATTACTATTATTGAATCTCATACTGTTATATTACAACATGTTAGCAGATCTGTTTTTAAATTTTGTTTGTTTTTTTGCTTTTGTAGGTTGCCATGGGTCAAGGTCAAGCTGATTTAGCAATTCAAATGCTAAAAGAATGTGCCCGCAATGGAGACTGGCTCTGTTTGAAGAACTTACATCTTGTGGTATCTTGGCTGCCAGTTCTGGAAAAGGTAGATTCAGATAAATGTACAAATAATATCTATTATACTCAACTTAGCAATCTCCAAGGGACATCAGTATTAAAATGTCATGCATTATTTATGATGATTTAAAAAGTAATATTTGAGAAATTTTAAATTTAAATATTTCATAAATATGTACAATTCTGCAAAATAAGACATTAATAGGAAGTCTATAAAAATCTTTTTTTAAAGGCATATAAGAGAAGCCAAGACATTTTTAATGAAGATTGACAGGGAAGCTTAGAAGACATATTTATACCATGAGTTTCTTTTTTTGCTCTTATTCTGTTGATCTGTATTGGGAGAAGAGACATAGTGGGGTGTCAGAGGGAACTGCCTAACTTCCTAGGTGCTAAGGAAGCTAGAGAATAAACTGAAGCAAATGTTTCGTTTATCTCAAATGGACTCAGGAGAAAAATAATCTTAAGACAGGACAAGTCACTGGATGGGCTTTACATGCAAACCTAGATTTTATTCTAGTGCTTATTTAAGAAAGATGAGTAGGGTCTTGGGTAGTTAAAGATGATTCTGAAGAGATATTCCTTGAAAGTCAAATAGGATTTTGCTAAGTATAGGCAAAGAAAGGATATCATGATTTTAATTCCATCAGCACAAGTAGAGATAGTGTTGGGGATGTCCACCCCTAGTACAAGGAATGAAGAGATGTCCTTGATAGTACTAGACGGGCCAGGCAGGGAAGCGTGGGGAAATTGAATTAGATGACTAGGAAAGAGCTAGGTTATGGAATACCCTGAGAACCATGCAGAACATTTTGGAATTTTTGTCCTGGGACTTAGAGGGCCAAAGGAGGTCCTTAACAGAGAAGTTAGTAATTAATTAATTAATTAATTTTTTCTGGCAGTGGTATATAGAATAGAAACAAACAGAATAGAGTAAATTGAGGGAGGTCCTGCCCTAGGTGTGAGGTATTAAAAATCTCTGCAGTCCTAATTAATTGGCAACTACACACTTCCACAAATAGTCAGTAAATTTTTGATGAGTAAGTTAATGAGTGAGTGAATGAGTTGATGGACCATGGTGATTCGTGATTCATTACTTGTAATCAAGAGAAGATACAGATTTTGGACTATGAATATTCATGTAATTCTATTATGGCTTTCTGTAAAAATTACTAATGTGTAAAAATATAAAATTTATGTCTGATAAATCATATATGTTTTGTTTTGGGTTTTTTTTGAGACAGAATCTTGCTCTGTTACCCAGGCTGGAGTGCAGTGGCACAAGTTTGGCTCACTGCAACCTCCACCTCCCAAGTTCAAATGATTCTCGTGCCTCAGCCTCCCAAGTAGCTGCGATTACAGGCATGCATCACCATGCCTGGCTGATTTTTGTATTTTTATTAGAGACAGGGTTTTGCCATTGTTGGCCAGGCTGGTCTCGAACTCCTGGCCTCAAGTGATCTGCCTGCCTCAGCTTCCCAAAGTGCTGGGATTGCAGGCGTGAGCCATCGCGCCTAGCCTGATAAATCATGTATGTTTTAAGATATGTAAAAAAGACTGGCAAATACTTGTACTGCTTTCTGTGTCAAACAGTTGATTGATAGCTACTAATCTATGTAAAATGTAATTAGAGTTATTATCTTGAAAGCACATCTTAATTAGAACTCGTAGAAACAGTACATAATATTATATAATTTTTAAAATAACTGATTATTATTTGCTTTTCTATTAGTTTGGGTGGATTGATTGGATATAAATTTATAAATTTACTGTAAATCCAACTATATCCAGCTATAAATCCAACTATATCACAATGTATTGTTTCTTTTACCTTTTAAATTTTTTTAGATTTGCTAACCCAAAGCAAAGTTTTATATAAACTTTACATTTTAAAGTTATGAGGTGTAAATACATTTTATCCTTTATAATTTTAAGCAAGCACAATGTTTTTAGGGCCATTCTTTTGTCATTTTTTTGTCATCTTAACTCTACATTTCACGTGATATTAAATGAATGTTAGTGTTAAACATCAATTATATTAAAATAATTTTTAGACTTCATTCTCTTTTAGAGCTATCAAAACTTCTTCTGTCATTTATTTATTCATTTATTAAATTTACAAATACTTGCTGAGTACAAGAAAAAGCCAGAAATTGTGCCAGGTTCTGGTTACCTACAGAATTTGTACCTGCTCTCTGGGAACTTAATTTAGAAGAGACAGATCACATTAATAACTATATTGTGGGATGAAGAATACTGTGGGAAAAATTTACAAAATGACATGGGTCATTAAATCTGGTTGGGATTGTGATAGTGAAGAGTTGGAGAAGATATTCCACTAAGACATAATATTTAAATTGTATTTTGACAGATAAGTAATAATTTGTCAGAGTACAAAGAGAATAATAGGCAGAGGAAATATGATGAGTAAAGATAGTCATAAGAGTCTGGATAAATGACTAAAGCCCACAGTATGAGAAGCATGGGCAGATGAATTTGTATGGTGAAGTTTTGAATTTATATTATAGGCCATAAGGTGCTACTAAAAATTGTAAATAAGGGAATTAATATCATTATATAACTCTGTAGAAGCATGAATTAAAGCAGTGAGAATCTAAAGACCTTAAGAAGGCTGGTAGTTTAGGCATAGCAATTGTAGCTAACACTTACTTTGAACTTACTATGTATCAGGCACTGTTTTAGTGTCTTAAACAATTCTTTGTGATAGGTGCTATTATTATCCTTGTTTAGAGATGGAATAAGTCAAAGAGACCAAGGTCACATAGCAGATTAGTGGCAAAGTATGAATTTCAACCCAGTCAACATGACTTTAGATGGAGATTCTTATTCATTACACTGAGCTAGTAATAGAAAAGATAAAAATTTAAAGGAAATATAACCAGAGCATTAAGAAATACATCAGAATGTCACAAAAGTTTTAATTAAAAATAGTTACTAATAATGTAATGTAAAAGAGAAACTTTCATATATATTTAAGTAAATTTTTGTCATTGGTTTTGTAAACAAGGAATTGAATACTCTTCAACCTAAAGATACCTTTCGTCTTTGGCTCACTGCAGAAGTTCATCCCAACTTTACTCCTATTTTACTACAGTCAAGTCTGAAGATAACATATGAGGTAAGAAGATTTAAAACTTGGATCACCAGTTGTATGAAAGCAGTACTCTATACATGACTTCTAAAACTTTGTAAACAACTATTATACAGAACACACAACTTCTTTTTACATTTAGATGAGGTATACATAGATAATAGCATAAGATGATGTAAAATACATTTAAATCTTTTCAAATTTTATTTCATACTTATGTTTTTTGTTTTTATTGTGGTAAGAAACACATAACATGACATTTGCTATCGTAACAATTTTTAAGTGTGTAGTGCAATATGCACCTTGTTGTGCAGTAGATCTGTAGAACTTTTTTTATCTTGCAAAATTGAAACTCTATGACCATTGAAGAGCAACTCTTCATTTTGCCCTATCCTCTGGCAACCACCATTTTACTTTCTAAGAGTTTGACTGCTTTAGCTACCTCATTTAGTAAAATCATGGATTATCTTTTTGTTATTTCACTTAACATAATGTCCTCAAGGTTCATCCATGTTTTAGCATGTGGCAGGATTTCCTTTCTTAAGATAGGATAATATTTCATTGTATGTATATACCACATTTTCTTTATCCATTAATCCATCAGTGGACATTTAGGTCTTTGACTTCTTGGCTGTTGTGAATAATACAGTGAACACTGGTGAGCACATATCTCTTCAAGATTCTGCTTTCAATTATTTTGGATATGTAGCCAGAAGTGGGATTGCTGCATCATATGGTGATTCTATTTTTAAGTTTTTGATGGAACTTCATACTGTTTTTCATAGTGGCTACATCGTTTTACATTCCCACTAGCACTGAACAATTTGTCCACATCCTCACCAACACTTTTCTTTGAGTGTGTGTGTTTAATAGTGGTCGTCTGAGTGGGTGTGAGGTGATGTCTGTTTGTGGTTTTGATTTGCATTTCCCTGGTAATGAGTAACGTTGAGCATCTTTCATATGTTTGGACATTTATATATCTTATTCGGAGAAATGTCTTTTCAAATTCTTTGCCTACTTTTAAAATTATTTAATTTTTTGCTGTTGAGTTGTATTAATAGTTCATTATATATTCTGGATACTAATTGCTTAGTATCTTATCAGATGTATGGTTTGCAAATATTCTCTCCCATTCTATAGATTGCTTTTCACTCTGTTGATTGTTCCCAACCTCCCTGCCTTCCTTCTATGCTTATGTCCATCCATCCTTGTATCTCTCTAATATGTAATGCTAGGTAGATCCAACCCAAACCTTATATAGCTAAAATTGTGTTTGTAATGATATTTTGTGATTTGTCAGAGTCATAAATGAAATAGCAAACTATTAAAACTGTCATTTTATTAGTGTTTGTAACTGCATGCTATTTTTTTTTTTTTTTTTTTTTTTTGAGATGGGGTCTCGCTCTGTTACCCAGGCTGGAGTGCAGTGATGCTATCACAGCTCACTGCAGTCTCGACCTGCTGGGCTCAAGCAATCCTCCCACCTCAGCTTTCTGAGTAGGTGGAATTACAGGTGCTTCACCACACCCAGATAATTTTTTTATTTCTTTTCTTTTTTTTTTTCTTTTTTTTGAGAGACGAGGCCTAACTATGTTGCCGAGGCTGGTCCTGAACTCCTTAGGCTCAAGCAATTCTCTTGTCTTGGCTTCCCAAAATGCTGGGATTACAGGCATGAGCCATTGTGCCTGGTCCTACCTGTTATTTTAGATCAGTACTGCTCTTTTTCATCTGAAGGTGTTTGTTTCATTTAAGGAAAAAAAAAAGGGTAAGCATTAATCCAGAAATGCAAAGATGATTTAATATTAGAAATATTTTAATTGAATGATTATAAGGTCTAGTAAGAAAGAACTTTCCCAGAATCTTCTCCAGCTACAATCCCACTATACAATTCTACTAATCTATATTCTAGGACTGGATTGCATGAGCCATGAGGGCAGGGGGTATTTTTTTTTGCTTGCATTTTTGAACTTAGCATGTAATTCAAGGCCAAGTAAGAGGAATTCAGTAAATATTTCGATAAGAGAGTATTATTATACCAGGTAAACTGTTCCTTGAATGTTTTAATGTGTAACCTTTTCTGGGATCTTGTTAAGAGGTAATTTGATTATATTTTTATGGGAATTTCCAATTTGATTTCAATTATTAGTGAATTTTTTTATTTCTTGAATCACTATAGGAAATTTTAACTATCTTAGCTTAGACTATCTGTGTAGTTCATTGAGATGTTCAAAATGATTATATGTATGTGCATATATATAATATGGGCATATATTATTTTTTAAAATTGTTAAATTCACTTCATTATTTTTTTCCTTTTTCGATTAGTTGTCAGAGTTGTTTAAAAAATTGTTTTTCCAAGTAACTGTTGCTATACTTATGAATTTGCTTTTTCTTATTCTTTTCATTTCACCGAATTTTCTTCTTTTTTCTGTTTTCCTTTCTAATGCTGTCTTTAGATTTTTTCTCGTTTTCTTCTTCCTGATTTCTTGAGTTGAATGGTTGTTTTGTATTTGCTTGTATTCATACTGAAATTGTTCTAAGTCTGAATTTGCAGCTTAATATGTCTTTGGCTTTATTTCATAATTTTGGCATATTAGTATTTTTGTTTCATTTATTTTTCAGTCTGTACTTATATGTGATTTTCTATGTAACTGTATAGGATTTATTAATTTGTATGATCTTTAGTGTAGTGCCTTTTTAAAAACTCTAAGTGGTTGTTTGGTTTCCTATTAATGTCATGTTTTATTGAGTAGTGTGCAGAAATTTGGCCTTATCTATGGTGGTTTTTGTAAATGTTTCATAAACATAAAAGCTTTCATTAAAAAAGTGTAAATTTGATAGGTACTTAATACTTCAGTAGTGTATTTTCTTTTTTTTTTTTTTTTTTTTTTTTTGGGAGACTGAGTCTTGCTCTGTGCCCAGGCTGGAGAACAGTGGTGTAATCTTTGTAATCTTGGCTCACTGCAACCTCTGCCTCCTGGGTTCAGGCAATTATCCTGCCTCATCCTGCTGAGCAGCTGCGATTACAAGTGTGCACCACCACACCTGGCTAATTTTTTATTTATTTTTTGTATTTTTAGTAGAGGCGGGTTTCACCATGTTGGCCAGGCTGGTCTCGAACTCCTGACCTCAAGTGATCCACACACCTCAGCTTCCCTAAGTGCTGGGATTACAAGCGTGAGCCACCATACCCAGCCACTTTTTAAAGAAGAAGGTCGTTTTACTTAAGAAATAACAATGAAAAGGATTTCAAAGGGGATGACTAATTTTTGTAGTAGGCATTCTTAAAGTATTGCCCTGAATTTATTATTTTTATGTTAGAAACCATTTTGGAAGAAATATTTTATTTTTAAAACAAGCTAATTAGAATAACTTGGGCAGAAAAACCCACATTATATATTTTTTAATATTAGAATTCTTTTCGAGGGGGTTGTTTTGCTATTTTCCCATGAACTTGAAAAGTTATCATTTTGATAATTTAAAAAATAATGACAGATATGATACATATGGATGAACATTTTTAAAGATTTTATACTAGTCTGATATATAATTTCACTTCCTGGATTTTTGTGTCTATGAACCTAGCAATGTTAGGTAATACTTTAAATCTGGACTAATGCATAAGGAACGTTAGTTGACATTCTATGTAAATGGTATGTTGAATTCCTCATGGAAATTCAAATAGCAACTAGTAAGGGAAAGCTGCTGTATTAAACTCAAATACCTGTCCCATAACAATCAATATCACATTAGTATTATTAAGTAGTGATTTAGTGTCAGTGGGAAAAAAAAAACCTCTCAATCATCCTATAAAACTTATTTGGTTATTTTGAATATTATTGTATAGATTTTTAAATTTGAATAATTATTCTGTATTTATATTTGAGATGAACTGTTAGATATAAGCAATTTAACACTAGTTTTATGTACATTTTGAAGTAACATAATAATTTAACTCAAACCCGGTAAGCAGTGAAAAATTTTCTTTAAATTATGTTCTTAAATATGTTAAAATCTAATATATTTTACTTGTAGGATTTTAGCAATAGGATGTCTGTTGATTTTTTTTCTAGTCACCTCCAGGTTTAAAGAAGAATTTAATGCGTACTTATGAGTCTTGGACTCCTGAGCAAATTAGCAAAAAAGATAATACACATCGAGCTCATGCTCTCTTCAGTCTTGCATGGTTTCATGCTGCATGTCAAGAAAGAAGAAACTATATTCCTCAGGTAAGTAAGAACATGTCTTGAATACATTCTAAGCTTTATATTTTTGTATGTTAAAATATTTTTGTGGCCAGGCATGGTGGCTCATGCCTGTAATCCCAGTACTGTGGGAGGCCAAGGTGGGCGGATCACCTGAGGTCCGGAGTTTGAGACCAGCCTGACCAACATGGGGAAACCCCATCTCTACTAAAAATACAAAATTAGCTGGGCATGGTGGCGCATGCCTATAAGCCCAGCTACTCTGGAGGCTGAGGCAGGAGAATCGCTTGAACCCGGGAGGCGGAGTTTGTGGTGAGCCGAGATTGTGCCATTGCACTCCAGCCTGGGCAACAAGAGCAAAACTCCATCTCAAAAAAAAAAAAAAAAAAAAAAGTAGTGGCACACGCCTGTAGTTCCAGCTACTTGGGAGGCTGAGGTAGGAGAATTGCTTGAACCCAGGAGGCAGAGGTTGCAGTGAGCCGAGATCACGCCATTGCATTCCAGCCTGGGTGACAGAAAGAGACTCTGCCTCAAAAAAAAAAAAAAAAAAAAAAAAACCAATTGTAATGTAGTATAAATAGCTAGGTTTACATATTTACATATTTACATAGTAATTTGGCTCATGACTTAAATTTATATCCTTAATTTGATCTTTTCTGCTAATCTAGACTGTATATAGCTAACTACTTCACGTCTCATTGTATTAAAGTATTAAGAACAATTTGTGACCCATTATAAGCCCTCAATGAGTGTTAGGTATCATTTTTATAGTTTATATTGCCTAGACGTCTCAAACTTCAAAACTTGTATTCCCCATACCAGTCAGTTCTTCCCAATAAAAGCCATTGGTATCTGTCTGCTTCCTCAGTCTATAAACTCAGGAGCTGTTCTTGATATGTTGTGTTTCTTAGCTTCCCTATCCAATCCATCATCAAGTCTTGTTAATTCTACTTCCAAAATATAATTTAAATATGTGTACTTCACCATTTTAAACCTCACCTCTCACCTGTACTACTTTCTGAATTTGTCTTCCAACTGTTCTTCCTACTTTTTGCATTTAGCAACCAGAATTATCTTTCTAATATCTGAGTTTGGTTATTACTTTGCTTAAAATTTATCAAGTGGCTTTTTATTGTACTTAGGGAAAAGATATGCCTTACCATAGTCCAGAAGAAAAGACCCACCTATCTCTTCAGCCTCCTCTCAGGCCCTTTGTGTCACTTGCATTCTATACTTCAGTCATGCTGGGCTTTTTTAAGGTCTTGAATCTGTCTACTCTTTCTCACCAAAGGCTCTCTATCTGTTATCGTCATCACAATCAATAAACTGCATTTTTTCCATTGCCATGGCAGTCATATCTGGTACTAATGGTCAATTCTTCTTGCCAAATGCTTCTCTCAGCTGTAAATTGCATCACTCTTCCATCTTTAAATTTTTCCCATCCTCTTTTTTCAACTTGGTCCACTTCTGTTGAGGAAAATCTCTCCTCAAACTTTCCCCCTCATGCTGCTCCCCTTTTAACCTCTCTGTTTCAGTGCCATGTCAAAACAAGAGCATAGGTTCTGGAGCTAGACAGACTTGCATTTGAGTCCTGACTTGAGAGTTTCCTTGCAGTGATACCTTGGGTAAACTGTTTTAACCCCCAAAAGCGTCAGTTGCCTCAACTGTAGAACGAGAGTAACAATCATATTTACCTTTATTGTGGGCATCAAATGAAATAGTGTATGTTTAATGCTTAACACAGTGTCTGATTTGTAGCCTGTCAATAAACATTTGTCAAACAGATGAAATAGTAAACAATAATAGCATTGTGTTGTTTCTTATAATATGTATACCACACTTATGGGGAGGACTCATTGATCATAGTTAACTTGCTCAAAGAATCACACCTAAAAAGTAGAGTTCCAAAATGGGTAGGCACATCTTCCTGTAAATCTTTTTTTTCCTGACTTCTCTGACCTCTGTCCTTAGCCTAATATATCAATTAATCCTGAAGGATAGATGAACAACACTGATAGTGATTTACCTTTATTGAGAAAAGTTACATTAAAAATTTAGATTTTATTATTAAGTTATATAGGCACATGGTATAAATAAAAAAGATATAAAATGGTTTGTAATGAAAAGTTAGGTTCCTCCCTACTTACTTCCCTGCCACCCACTTTCTATTCTGAGAGGGTCCACTATTAACCATTTCTTGTTTGTGCTTCAGAGAGATTGTATAAATACACAAACATATTAATTTCTATATGCATTTATGTTCTTTATAACTCAAACAGTAGGTAGCATATTACAAGCACAGCTCTGTACCTTGCTTTTTAAAACAATATGTTTGACATTGTTAAGTATCAGTGTCTATTTAATGCCTAACTTAAAAATATTATTTGTATTACATAATATTGCTATAATTTTTTAGCAGTTTTGGATTGTTGGATGGGCATATATATTCTTTTCAACTTTTGTGAATATAAAAAAATGTTGCAATGGAGATCCCTATGCATGCTTCATTTAACACCTATTTATAGCTGTCAATTTTTAAATGTGGAATATTTGGGTCAAAGAATATATGTATTTTTAGAAATCTGTAAATATTACCAAATTGTTATCCATAGGGGATACAGCAATTCACTTTCCCACAAAAAAAAAGTTGGAGAATGTCACTTTTTTTCATACCATACTGTTGTTGTCATAAAAATCATAACACTGGAGGTAAATGTAGACAAAATATATATACCTATGACATGGTCTCTAACAATAGAATTGTTAGAGACAATTTTTATTAGAGACATGTCATAGGTATATATATTAAGCAATATTGATAGCAACGGTTTTCTAATTTGGGGATTTTAAAAATACTGATCTTCAAGGTATTAAACATTTTTTAAAAATAAACTTTTTCACATACGGTCTAACAGAATGATATAAGAAATTTTATTAAGACTTTTGAATTGTTAGAAAGTTTAGATAAATATTAGAGGAATTTTGTTAATTGTTGATGGGTACATATCCTTTAGAGATCTTTAATTCTTAAATCTGCTAACAGCAAAATTTAAATCTTTTGTTTTCATAATATCCACAATGTTCTTTTTTTAAAAAAGTATCCAAATGCTATTGACCCCAAATTTACACATACAGCTCAGATCAATTTTCTAGGCTGTATGTTTGCATATCTGGCAGTTGACATATCCAGTTGGATGTCTCAAACATGTCTGAAAATTCACGTATTCTGGATCAAGCACTAGAATTTAAGCTTCCCAAGTGCACAGATATTTGCCTCTTGTTTATTGCTATGTTTTAATTGACGAAAACATGGCCTGGTATATAGCAGTCCAAAACTTATGTTTTTGTTTAATGTGTTTGTTTAAATGCTTTGTTAAGCTTTTGTTTGGTGATCTCATGATATTCCTTCCCAAACCTTGTATTCTTTCAGTGTTTCACTTATTAAGAATGACATCATCCATCATCAATTTGAATGAGCGATAAGCTTAGAAGTCATTCTTAACAGCCCTCTTTTTCATGTCTTCATACTCCATTACAATCCAATACAAAAATTCTGTTAGTTTTATTTTCCTAACGAGTTCTTAAATCTGTCTACTTTTATCTTTGTATGTCACCCCTCTCCCCATTAGGGTGACTTTCCCTCTCCTCTAGATTAGGTCAGATCTCTTTCATATGTGTGAAACATACTAAATGTTTCTCTCCATCAAAGTTATTATCATTTTACAGTTGCATATGTATTTGAGTGATTGTCTCCAGCCCACTCTTTCCCACGTTTTACTGAAAGCTACATGAGGGCAGGGATAATTTTTTTGTTCATTCTTATATTCCCAGAGCCTGACATATAATACATATTTTAAAAATATTTTTTGAGTGTTGAATGAATGAATGAAATTTGTATCAGTATTCCTAATATCCAAGTCTAAATATATTTTAATTTGAACTTATTTTATTACTTAGAACTAATTAGTCAATAGAAGCCATATAGAAATTATTTTATGTTTCAATTTATTGTCTACACAATATAGAGCTCTATGAATATTCATTTTATACAAACATTGTAGCTATTAGTTATAGTTATATAATTTTATTTAGTTCTGATACGCATGCTTTGTGGGTTCAATATGAATGAATATACTGCTATAAGCTTTTGGGCCTTTTTTTGTGCAGTATTTTTTTTTGTATGTTTGTGGAGAAAATCCACAATTCTGGAGGATAAAATTTTAGGAAATATCCCAATGTATATATAGCAATTAGAATAAAAAATGTAGTATATCAGTTTGTTCTCTATGATTGTGTTGCCACATAACTAACTAAAACTAGTATGGTATTATAAAGTACTTTTCATGCTATGGCCAGTTAATTTTTTTTAAGTTTACTGTTACTTTAGATTTATTATGTGTTGGTTTTATTAAAAATTCTCAGGAGTTATATATTTTTAAGTCTATATTGATCATTTAATTTAAAGACAGTGATACATACATATATATCTTTGACTACTGCTTAGTTGTTTACTTAAAAAAATTGTTTTTTGACAGGGTTGGACAAAGTTTTATGAATTTTCTTTATCAGATCTTCGGGCTGGGTACAACATTATTGACAGACTTTTTGATGGTAAGTTCTAACAAAAATTTTAATCTCATATTAATAAAATATTTTATCTGAGGTCTTATTAACTATGTTTTCTTCAGAAGTGGCTTAACTTCCTATCACAAAATTTGCTTGTGCTTTTTATTTTATTTTTTATTTGACTTCTATACCTGTGTTATCTCAGAGTTCTTATATGGATCTGTTTTTACATGGATTCTTCTTTCTGGGAGCAGAAGTCTAGAAAGACCTTGTTTTCACTTTGTGGCTTTCAAAAGTTTCAGGCACTAACTGAATTTTTCAGATGTCTTTCAGGGGAACTGTTAAAATTCAGGAGTATAGCAGACTAAGATTAGTACCAAGGATCTGTGGAGTCATAATTGAATTACTAAGTAGGATTCAGGAAACAAGGTACAAATAATAGATTGAAACACAGCAGCAAATAAAGCCATTTAATCTGACCCCCTAAGGCCATCTAGCTATCAGCCTCCTTGAAAACAGGAACAGTCTAATCTCTAAAGTTTATTGTGCAGGGCGAAGGGAGGGGGACACTAGAGTTTAGACCAATGATGGATTAGAGAATAGAGTATGTTGATAGTAATCTCAAACTTAAAAATATCACAAACAAATCTCTCAATTCCTGTCTCCTCCCCACCCCCAACCCTGCAACCCTGCCAAATACTTTTTCCTGATTCTGCCTCCGTTTCAGTAGATGGCCCACCATTCCTGTATTAATAGTTGTTCAAGGCTAAAGCCTGTGAGTCACCTTGGATTCTTTTTTTTTTTCTCATCCTCAGACATCCAGTGCTTTGGCAATTTCTATCCTTTGCAAATCACATCATGATTCTATTCGCTTATTTTCCAATGTGTTGGCAGTCCAAGCAATAATTTCTTACCTGGTCTTCTTCCACTTTAGCACCCTTGCAAACATTCTTCATACCATAAACAACTTTAGTTTTTAGAAATGCAAACCAAAGCATATAATTTTCCTGTTTAAAACCTATATCCATATTTGGCATCTTTGTGTTCCTCAAACAAGCCAGACTTGTTCTTACTTGAAGGTTTTAATAGGTGTTCTTCCTTCGGTCTGAAATGCTTTCCTCCCAAACTTTCATATGGCCTTCTTCTTCCTATTGTTCACTTCTCAGCTTGGATGTATCCTCTTGAGAAGAGAATTGCTTCTGGAGATTGATTTCTTACTGCTGAATCTGAAGTAATCTAATCATTCTCTATCCCTTTGTATTGTCATATTGTCTTAATACATTAGTACTACCTCGATATCTTCTTGTTTATTCATTTATTTTCTTATTTTGTTTCTCTTCCCACTAGAGCATTATCTATTTTAAAGTAAGATCTTTGTCTCGTTAACTGTGTATATCCTTGAGGTTTATAACAGTGCCTAGCCCATCATAGTTACTCAATTATTATTTCAGTTAATAGCATCAGAAATTTTTTCTATAACTTGTCTTTGGCAAAAGGATAAGGATGGACAGCTAGGATGTGGCCAAGTCCCATTTTAATTTATATATTTTTAAAGTTTAAAAAAACCTATTTAATGAAGTATATGGACAAAAAGTACTTACAAGATTATGGCTCACTGAAATTTCCACAAACTGAATTCCCCCACGTAGCCAGCACCTTAATCAAGAAACAGAACATTATAAGTACCACTGAATCTACTCATGTAATGTTGCCTTTCAGCCTCTACCATCCCCTAACTTTATCTTCCCCTGTTCCTGAGGTAGACACCAGACACCTAACTATATAGATTACTTTTGCCTGTTTTTGTAAAACTGGAAACATACAGCATATATGCTCTAGTGTTTGGGTTCCTGTAGTTAACATTATATTTGATAGATTCAGCTATGTGTTTGCATTTAGTTGTAGTCCATTTATTCTCAATGCTATACAGTATACCTTTGTGTAATTATATGTATTTCTGTTGATGGACATGCTGGTAGTTTTGAGTTTGGGATGATTATGGGTAATGCTGCTATACCTTTAGGTGAATATATAGATATATTTCTGTTGAGTATATATGTAGGAGTAGAATTGCTAGGCCACAGGTTATGCATTTGTTCACCATTACTAGTTAATGCCAAATAGTATTCCAAGAGAATTTTCTGTTTGTTTAAAAGATTTTTTAAAATTCTACATCAGAAAAGTACACATAAATGTACAATTCAATAAATTTTCCATAAACTGAACCTATGTAACTTGCCCAAAATAAAAAATAAAATAAGAACAGCATTATCAGTATTTTAGAAGTGGCTTCTTCCTACTCCTTTCTACCTATGACCCAACATTCCCCACCTCATACATGGGTAACTACTTTCCTGCACTACGTGAACTGTTGTTTTTAATATTTGACACAGATTTTTTTTTTGGAGGATATAAACTAATACTTTTTTCAGCTTGCCTAAAAACTTGGTAATTTTCCAAAATGCTTTTGAATATTTATTTGACTTTTATAATACCACTATGAGGCTATTAGTGTTAGTGCCTTTTCACAAAAGAGAAAAGCAAAACAGAATTTGAATGATGTATCATTGTGTTTCACGTTTGTGATAGAATTAATTAATAGCATTGTAAGACATAGATATATAAATAGGTATCTTACACCATTATGTTTTGAATAAAAGGCAGATGCTCTAAAATGATATTGAATCTGAGTAAAAATCTGTTAAATCTTGATTACAGAATTTTCTGACATGAAGGAACTTCCACATGTATAGAATTAAATGCCAAAAAAGAGAAAAAGGTCTAACTCTTGGGAACAATTGGTATTGAGAGTAATAGCCATGCGACCTAGAGCAAGTTTCCTAATCTTTAAGCCTGAGTTTCCTGATCTTTAAATTAGGAATGATAGTAGACACTATCTCAGTTTATTCGAATATCCAGAAGTTTAAATTACAAAAGCTACATGAAGCATTTAACATTTAGTACATTTAATATGTGGAGTTAAGCTATCAGTAATTGTTGGCTGTTATTATTGCTATTGTTGTAATTTAAGTTCTATTCATTTTATTTTATCCTGAACAACATAAAATTTGTTTTGAGAAAAATAGGTAGAAAAAAATAAGATTTTCTTATAAAAATTCGATAAAATATTTCACATAATGGCTGCTGTTTCTGTTTTATAAGTTGAAAGATACACTAATATGTCTGTATTCCTTAATGACTTATCAATGACTGGCTAACTTATCAGTGACTGTCTAAATGATAAAGGTATCATTTAGTGAGTATCAGGACAACTAGAAATTTGAGTCCTGGTGAAGTCCTTTGTTTAGTCACTGTTGACTATAAGATGTAGGCAGATAACAACTTTATTCTTCCACTATATAGGTCCCCTTATCCTGCAGGAGGCAACCTAAATCCCTTATGTTCCAAGGCATGTAGATAATCAATTTTTGTCATATCTCTAAATTTTATAGTAATGAAATGGAACTATGCTAGTAATGCTAACAATAAAGTTTATTAGCTAGTTTAAATGTAGTTATGTGTCTCCTGTATTTACTGTGATCTGAGATTTAATTCTTACATTTTAACATTACCACAAAATTGTGATGACAAGGATATTTCTGTTGCAAAATGAAATAATATACAAGAAGTTCCTCCTGACCAACATGGTGAAATCCCGTCTCTACTAAAAATACAAAAATTAGCGGCGTGGTGGCATGCGCCTGTAATCCCAGCTACTCAGGAGGCTAAGGCAGGAGAATCGCTTGAACCTGGGAGGTGGACAAAGCAGTGAGCTGAGATCGCGTCATTGCACTCCAGCCTGGGTGACAGAGTGAGACACCGTCTCAAAAAAACAAAAAACAAAAACAAAAAGTTCCATTGTGGCTTTTTAATATTACATTTCTCTTCTATTAAAATAGAAAGTGGATAGTTGACTATGTAAAATCATGACGTTTAGAAGAGTGTAATGTGTGAAGGTGTTTCATAGAGTTTCCCTGTTAATCAGATTATTTTATAAACTGACAGTTTCATCAAATGTGTAAAATTATGTTTTGGATAGGTTCTCTTAAGGAATTTCCAATTTAAGTAGCCAGGATTGTGTGGCAGATAATTCAGATAATCTGACTGGATTCAGAGTACCTCATTTCTATTTCAGATCTTCGAGATTGTATAACTTTCTCATTTTGGTGCCTCAGCCTCCCTATCCCTTAGGAAGGTTTCTCCATATGTATAATTGTATAATATTAATACTTCTATCTTTGCTATAAGGATTAAGTGAATTTATACATGTAAAATATTTGGAAAATTTTACTTGATTAAAAAATCTCAAATATTTACTACTATTAATAGTCATTTGAATAAATGATTTAGTTGTATTAAATACATTTGGCTACATGTTATAAATATAACTCAAGGCAGGAATTTAGTTAATATTTTAGAAATGAAATTAATGAGTGTTTTTTTAAAATTATAGGTGCCAAAGATGTACAATGGGAATTTGTACATGGTTTACTTGAAAATGCTATTTATGGAGGACGTATAGACAACTATTTTGACCTTAGAGTTCTTCAGTCATACCTGAAGCAGTTTTTTAATTCTTCAGTTATTGATGTATTCAACCAAAGGAACAAGAAAAGCATTTTTCCATATTCCGTATCTCTACCACAATCCTGCAGCATTTTGGTAGGTAAAATGAATGATTTTCAATCTATTTCCAGGTAGATACGTGAATCATTTCTTACATTGTTAAATACATGTTACTTCTTTTCAAATGCACAAGTAATTATTCACAGTTTGGATTATTTGTTATGACAATATATGGCTTGATTCTTTCAACTTTAGTGAGGCATCCTAAAAACTTTTGAGTACTTACTGAAAGTTGGGTGGTTGATCATAATAATAGGCTGGTATATAGACAGATCTTGAAGGGAGTGGCCAAAGAAAATTCAAATAAGGTAGGACTGCTGTGAAAAGCTGAAGTGGGAGAATATGCACTTCATAGTAGGCATGAGTATACTCTCATATATTGAAAAATATGAAAGAAGACAAATATTATTTAATAAATATGTGTCTTCAGTTTCTGGCTTGTACACTTAAAGCTTGTCTAAATATGTAAAATGAATTTACTTTGTTTTTCACAGCAACATTTTGTGTATTTTTTTCAGCCAGCTGTAGCTTTTTGCCTTGAGCCGTCACATGAAAGCCTCCTAGAATGTACTCATCTTTTCCAGAAAATAGTAATAAGTATAGCCAAAAGATTTCAATTTTGATTTATTTTGCCATAAACCTATCTGTGTATAAGTGTGCAAATAATTCTTTATTAGAGTACTATAATTATACATTTCTTCATGAATTACAAAGGCATATATCTATTCAATTATGTAGTTCTCTCAGTTTTGTGCTGTTTCCTTTCATCCAAATTTTTTTCAAGAAAAATCCTTCATTTGGCACATAATTGTCAAAAAATAAAAGTTTAAAAATCACTATTAAATATATTACTCTTACTGACTATCTTACTTATTACCTTAAGTATGCTGTTTTGTTTCTAGTATCTTTAATTTACTCATTCATTCAATAATATGCATTGAACATCTGCTCAGTGATAGTGCTGTTCTAGGTATTGTGGATATAGTAATGCACCTGTGGAGTTTACCTTCTAGCAGAACCTTAGAGGGAATGAATAAATAGAGAATATCGCATAATTACTATACATTTAACTCAGATAGTGTACCCCAACAAGTTTTCCAACTCTATTGTTAGAAGCTTACATTGAAAAATACAATTCATACAGAAATGTATACATCCTAAGTGCACAATTCCATGAATTTTCATACATAGACCACATGAGTGTAGCCAGTTCTGGGGTCAAGAAACAGAGTATTATTAGCTTCCCAGAATTTCTCCTTATGTTCCCTTCTAGTTACTACCTCTCCCACAAAGGGTACATTATACTTAACTCTAACAGCCTAGTTTTCTTGTTTTTGTGCTGTTTATATAAATTATATCACGTGGTATATATATATTTTTATGTACAAGTAAGGGTAAATCAGTCTGAATATGTAACTGCCAGTTACTAGTCAGCATATCACTGTATAGTTCTAGATAGACAGAAGACTCTAGCCAGTCTAGACAAGATTTCATAGCTATTTTGAAATAAGCAAAGTGTATAACTCTACAAAGAGTAAATATTTTTAAATTTATAGGATGACTTATGACAATCACTGTTTAGCTTTCTAATTGAGTTAGATGAAAGACACTGAATGTTTCCCACGATAATACATGCACACATATATGCAAACATACACTCATGTACATGTACATATACATTTATACGTATATATTGTGATTGAATACCTTGAGGAAGTTTACAAATGCTAAGCTAAAGGATTGGAAGAATTTCAAAGAACAGCATGACTTTCCAAAATGTGACATATTTACAGGCCCCGGACTTCCTGGAGTCCAACTGTCTCCTTGGAAATACTTCAGGGTCAGCTGCCAAGGATAAGAACGGATGAGGGGAAGTCAGAGGCCAAGTCTCCCATGCCTACTTCAGCAAACACGGTTTAGATGCACGTGCAGTACTTGCCTTAAAATAACTTCTCTTCATGAAAACAAAACAGTTTCCATGTTTAGGCCAAACTGAATAAGTGTTTTTGCCTGCACTTAGTTTTTGATTTAAAGTCATGAGTGAGTAACTGTTGAAATGAATGCTCAACAAGCCAAGCTTATTCAATGTGTAGGGTAATTCTTAGGATGAAATGATAGGATTATCAATGCATTTTATCACACCTCACCAGCAAACTGAAGACTAACTGGAATTGCTCTATTATAAAGCAATTTACAAAGCAGTGCTTCTACACGTTTACAAGGTTTCTCTAAGTTAAAAAGAAACAAAAGTAGATTGCCTGAATATATAAATATATATATATATATATAACTGCTTAATTTAACATGAGCAGAACTGCACTCTGCAGATTGGTCTTTGGTAAGTTATAGGAAAAAAATTACAGAGCTATCCTAAAAACATCTAACATGGTAGCTTACATATAGTAGGCATAATCACTCAAATATGTTGTAAATAATTCGGAGTCCCTTTGTATGTGGGAGTTATGATAAGAAAATATAATATCAAATAATTGAAGTGTGAAGAAGTATTAATGACAGAATACTTCCCACAGATAACTGAGTTAATATCATACAAAGTGAGATTTATCTAGAAAATAAAAATACAAATAATAATTGAACATTTCAAAGTATTCTTTCTTATTTCAATGATTGTAAGTTCAATCTTTATTTTTTAAAAAAACTGTTTTTCACTTCTTTATATTTAGGACTATCGTGCTGTCATTGAGAAAATTCCAGAGGACGACAAACCTAGTTTCTTTGGTCTGCCTGCCAATATCGCTCGCTCATCTCAGCGCATGATCAGTTCTCAGGTAACCTAAAAAAAAGATCTACCTTCAAAAAAAGTTGCTAGTGAGCCTGAAGGAGACAAAATTAAACTTGATTTAGTACTGTAGACCCCACAAGCTTTATTTAAACATTTTATTTTCACAACACATTCCAGTTTTACTTTAAATATATTTTTTAAAATATTTGATTTTCTGATTTTTTTTCTTTTTAAACTTTTATTTTAGACTCAGGGGAAATGTGCAGATTTGTTACATAGGTAAATTGTGTGTCGTAAGGGTTTGGTGTACAGATTATTTTATCACGTAGGTAATAAGTATAGTGCCCAACAGGTAATTTTTCGATCCTCCCTCTCCTCTCACCCTCCACCCTCAAGTAGGCCCTGGTGTCTGTTGTTCCCTTCTTTGTATCCATGTATACTCAGTGTTTAGATCTCACCTATAAGTGAGAACGTGGTATTTGGTTATCTGTTCCTGTGTTAGTTTGCTTATGAAAATGATCTCCAGCTCCATCCATCCTTGCTGTGAAGGACATGGTCTTGCTCCAGCTCCTTCACTTCCTTGCTGCAAAGGACATGGTCTTGTTCTTTTCTTATGTTGCATATTCCATGTTGTCTATGTATCACATTTTCTTTATTCAGTCTACCATTGATGGCCATTTAGGTTGACTCCATATCTTTGCTATTGTGGGTAGTGCTGCAGTGAACATTCATGTGCATATGTCTTTATGGTAGAACCATTTATATTCCTTTGAGTATATACCCAATAATGGGATTTCTGGGTCAAATGGTAGTTCTGTTTTAAGTTCTTCGAGAAATCGCCAAACTATTTTCCACAATGGTTGATCTAATTTGCATTCCCACCAGTGGTGTGTAAGCATTCCCTTTTCTCTGCAACCTTGCCAGCACCTGTTATTTTTTGACTTTTTAATAATAGCCAGTCTGATGGGCATGAGATGGTATCTCATTGTGGTTTTGATTTGCATTTCTCTAATGATCACAATGTCAAATATTTTTTCATATGTTTATTGGCCGTATGTATGTCTTCTTTTGAGAAGCATCTCTTCATGTTTTTTGCCCACTTTTTAATGGGCTTGTTTGTTTTTTGCTTGTTAATTTCTTTAAGTTCCTTATAGATTCTGGACATTGGACCTTTGTTGAGTACTTAGTTTGCAAACATTTTCTCCTATTCTGTAGGTTGTCTGTTTACTCTGTTGATAGTCTCTTTTGCTCTGCAGAAGCTCTTTAGTTAGGTCTCATTTGACAATTTTTGTTTGGGTTGCAATTGCTGTTGGCATCTTTGTCATGAAATTTTTGGGCCAGGGCCAATGTTCAGAATTGTATTTCCTAGGTTGTCTCCCATGGTTTTTATAGTTTTAGCTTTTACATTTAAGTCTTTAATCCATCTTGAGTTGATTTTTGTATATGGTGGAAGGAGTGGGTCTAGTTTCCATCTTCTTCACATGGCTAGGTAGTTAACCCAGTACCATTTATTGAATAGGAAGTTCTTTCCCCACTGCTTGTTTTATGGACCTTGTCAAAGATCGTCAGATTGTTGTAGGTGTGTAGCTTTATTTCTAGGCCCTCTATTCTGTTCTGTTGGTTTATGTGTCTGTTTCCATAGTTCTCTTTGTGGAGATCTTTCACCTGTATACTGCTGTTAATACTTCTGATTGTATTATGAAATTCTTGTAGTGAATTTTTCCATTCCAGAAGTTCAGTTTGGTTCTTCCTTAAAATGCCTGTTTCATTTTTGAGCTCTTGGATTGATTTACTGGATACCTTGGATTCTTTGGATCGGATTTCAACTTTCTCCTGAATTTTGTTGAGCTTTTTTGCCACATTCTGCATTCTACGTCATTTCAGACATTTCAGTCTCATTAGGGACCGTTGCTGGTGGGCGGGGGATGGGCGTATAGTGGGCTCCTTTGAAGGTAAGGGGACACTGGCTTTTTGAATTGCCAGAGTTTTTTCTCTGATTCTCATCTGGTGGGGCTGGCGTTCCTTTAACTCTGATGCAAGTTGGGTGCACTCAGTTGGGTTTGGTTTGGGGCGCTTTCAGAGGGCCAAGGCTCTGTACAGTGTCTTTATTTGTGGGTGAATTCTTGCTCTTGGTTTCCGGCATCTATTAGCAGAATAATGTTTAGTGTTGTAGTTTGGGCTTCAGTCCAATAGATGGCGCTTAGGAGTAGTGGCTGGTAGATAGGCTCTTACTTAGCCCTGTGGTTTTTTTGTTATTTCCTTGTTTTCGCAGGCACGTTCTTGGGAGTAGAGGGAGGGGCGGGGAATAAAATCATCTCACCAGGGCCCCGTCCTTGGCTTTGAGTGAGCCTCTTCTGATCATTGGCTCCTTCCCCGGGTTTCTTTTGCTATGTGTTCGGGGTGGTTGGGCTCCCTCTGACAGGCTGCATCCGGGAGATAGGCCGGCCATACGCTTTCTGGGCCAGCCCTGTGGAGGGACGTACGAACCGCCTCTGTGCTGGCCCACAAACCTGCACGTCCCACCCCTCTCAGTGATCTGAGGGTGGGCGCTTCTCCCCAGCTCCAGTGTTGGCCGCAGATCTGGGCTCGGTACTCCTGAGCTGCAGACCGCATTCCGGGGACACTGGAACAGCCCTTGGCTTGGGGTCAGACTCTGGCAGCACTGGGGGATCTGAAGTGCCCCTAGGTTACTTGGAAAATACTCAGATAGTGCGGAGCACTCAGGCAGGGCTGTGGAGGCTGCGTTGTGCACACGATCCTGCGGGGTGGCTATGGAGGGGCTCGGCAGTGGGAAGGCCTGCAGAACAGATGTGCCCCAATCCTGTGGGGGAAGCCAGCCTGCTGTCTCTTGGCCTGGCAGTCAGCTGATGCTAGAGCCTCTAGGAGGGTGATGAGGACCCCTGGGGGAATGGGCACTTAGGGCCTTACTCTACTACAGCTGTCCTGCACACAAAAGCTCCTGAGCTCCACAGCAGCTGAAGCACTGTTTCTGCCTAGTCTCCAGGCAGATCCTCCACCAGCTCACACATCCATGGTGGATGCGGGGTCCGCTGAGCTAGGATTCCATAGGTCCAAGGTGAGGGTGAGATGTCCCTCAGTCTCCTCACTCATCACTTCCTCAGGAGTTGCTTGGGGCCGGGAACAGCCCCGAGCATTATGTTAAGGCACACAGGGTTCCAGCTTCCTCCCGCTTCACCCTGAGCATCAGCGTCACTTCTCCATCCACTCTCGGTAGTGTTTTCTTCCCCAAGATCTGCCCAAATTTTGTTGGATTACTTGATAATTTGGTATCTCTCAGTGGGAATGGTTCTTCCTGGCTGCATCTAGTTAGCCATCTTGTTCCAGCCCTCTCTATTTTAATGTTTAAACTCAAGTTCTACCCAAATACATACGTGTGTGTGTGTATAATACATATATTTGAATATTCACATAAAATTTTACAATACTTAAGCAAATAAGGTTAATATAATTAAAAGGTTATTAAAAGAATAAAAAGTTATTTCATAGGCTCCAAAAAAGGATTTGCTTTGGGAACCTTATCAATAGAAGTTCAAAACCTTCTCTTGAAAGTTCTATTATTAACAGAACATGGCTTCTGCAACTGCTAGTCTCAGTATCATTCAGGTTCTAGGGGAATCTGATTTAGCATAGTTTGGATCAATTATCTAATGAAGGTAATAGGGTAAGATAGAGCAGATACAGCCTTAGAGACTTAGAGATACAGGAGAAGAAATACAGAATGTTCAGCATCTTCATCTTACAGGGAGGCCAAGCAAAGCAGCTACCTATATACAGAACTTATTTTGCTCCTGGGCCATTGACAAGAGCCAAGGATGTGGGGGTCATCTTGGTACTGCGAAGCTGTAGCCTTAGTTTCCCACCAATCTTCTATTTCATGTTAGCTACAAAAGTCCAGTGCTTGTATACCAACACACAGCTCCCCAGGCTAAGTGGAGTCCCAAGGAACAGGGGTTTCATGACAAACTAGGCAGATAAAACATTCCACCCTTATCTTAACTACGTAGTTTCTAAGGAAATAGTACTATGAGAAGATAGACGCCCATGTTGTTTACCCAGATTGTCCTGATTCAACCCAGACTTCATTTTACTTTTTACTCACTCGAATATAGCAAAAAATTATCCCAAATTTATCGTAATATGATCTAATTTCTACTAGTTTGTCTTGCCTTAGTATTCCAATTTTTATGAATACTTTTGGGATGAAACGAAGATAAAATTCTTCCTAAGGTTTTTTGGTTAACACTTATTTTCTTATTTGTATTTTAACTGTCAGTCTGTTTCACTGCTTATTTACTTGAGTACTTATTTTTTAATTACCATTTTTTACTTAAAAGGGTTTCACAGTGCTTCAATCATTTTAACGTTTTATTTTTCAAATTATAAAGATGTATATGCAACTGAACTAATAGAATTTATATATTTAGAGATTTTTTTCATTCCAAGCCACATTTAAACACCCTTATTTGAAAGTAAATATTCAGATACTACAAAGTTTGATTTGACACCATGCCTGTCAATGTACTTAACAAAAAGTAGATTAGAAAACATTATTTATCATGCACAAATTCAGGGATATAAGAACTGATATTGCATCAGGTATTTGATGATTTGGGCTTTTAAGGACAGGCTAATGCCAAAGTTGTATAACCAATTTTGTACAAATATGAAGGCCAAAAATGAGTACATACATTCAAGGCAATGACCACAAGTTGTATCTATCTACTGCAAATTGTTGATTATACTTATGTACAGATGCTGTGTGTCAGTAGTTAGCAGTTTTTTTGTTTTTGTAACCTGCTGCAGTATACACACCACATGGCATTCTCAACCACATCAGCTAATACACTCTTTTCCTCAACTTTTCCACTGTTATAATTACCGTAGGGATGTTACATTAACCAAAATGTGAAAGTCAAAAGCAAGAGACTTTGGGTTTTGTTTTTGATGGTGAGGAGGGGGAGAGATAAATTTGATATGTTAGTTCGAATTGCCCATGCAATAATGTTTATTTGAGTTGCCATAAAATATCTATTTGGAAATGTCTAGTAGGAACATAGACTAAATAAACGTAGGACAGACTTCAGATGTAGATATGATAAAAAAGATTTGACAAAAAAGAAGTACATCTGTGACAGAGGAAGCTGTGAGAATTAGAGATTGATTGCTAGGAAGGATGAAACAGAAAAGAAAGATGCCTGAAGGTAGTATCCTGGGAAATATCTATGATTAACACATACTTGAAGATGGGAAAATCTTTGAAAGAATTTTAGCAAGAGTGATCTGCATTCAGAAAACAAGACAAGCAGAAGAGCTTTAAAAGAGAGTCTTCAGGTGATGGGAGGGAGTGATGCTGGTTGTTCAGGGAGTGGAAGAGGAGGGCTAAGTTATAAGGAATTGGGCATTATTCAGTATTTCAAAATCTTTTCTAGAATCATCTCTGTAGAATGTTGGAGGATAGAAATCTAATTGCAGTAGTTTGGGAGGGAAAGTGGGTGAAAAAGTGATGCAAATGAATATAGGTGATTAATTTAGGAAGTTTGACACTGACCAGAACCTCTGTCTCTGCCAATAAAAGTTAAAGGCAAAATGTAAGTAATCTAATGTGAATACAAGATTCAGGGAGAAATTGTTATTACTGATGTTAGAAGAAACTGAAGCATGTTTTTTTCTGTACTCTCTTACAGGATTCTGAGTTATTCAAGGGTAGAGCATGTATTTTTCTTCTCCTTTTCTTTTTTTTGTTGTGGGGTGGTGTGCCAGTACCTGTTTGCTGATGGTACCCTTAGTGTCCTTGGTACTTTCTATTAATGAATATTGCTTTTGTTTTAAAGATGTATTTTACATTTAAAGCAACTATAAATATTGTTTGAGTTGATTGAAAAAATATCTTAAAATATTTTTGCTATTAGCGTTTTTGGCTATAGGTATTTCAGTATTTCTTTATATCTTTTCTAGAATTACTCTTGCCACTGCTTTTGCTTATTTAAATTCTTCGTTCAATACCCAGTCCAAAGCTTATCCTCTCCTGAAGTATTTGTATTGATCCTCTGGTATTTTTTACTTTTATTTATCTCAGCTATCCAACATTATTTGCCTCTAATATAATATTAGAATAGGTTTTGGAATGTAAAGGTGAATAAAAATAGTCCCTGTTTTGAAGGAATTCAGTTTAGTGGGGAGAGAAATGTGTAGAAAAAGTCCCACTGCCACGTAAGTGGTAAAATAGAAACATGTATTCTACTAAGTTTGTATCTTGTGAATTTATATCTGAATAAATATATGTACTTTTCATTTCATTGCTGAAGAAAAACTTTTTGCATGAATTAGATCATTTGTGTTATGTTTGTACGAATTTGTGCAATCAAGACAGTTTGAGTAAATGAGAAACACTTTAAAATTAAGCTAAATTAAGTTCTTCTGAAGAAATCTTTAAAGCAGAAATTATACTTCTCTTATAACTTCAGACTTAGTAATGTTTGAAATTTTGCTTCTTTTAAATTAAAAACGTAATTGTAGTTTCTACAGCTTTTTGTTTGGTTAAAACAGACTTTTGTTTCAGAAAATGAAAACTAAACAATAAATTTTTTAAATAACTAAAGCTCTAACCTATTTTCATTAATATATATCTTTATTTACCCAGATAGGACAATATCTTCTATGTGTTATGTATATTAACTTTTGTCTCCCCAAATAAATAAAACAGTTAAAATAGCACTTAGTAAATAGTAGGTCCCTTTATGACAACGCTATTCTCTTCATCTCCTTCATGTCCCTCCTCCTCTTGTACTGAAACTGGCCGGTCACAGTACTTTTATCTTTCTAATTAAGCAGCATGTGGCACCAGCAGAGTCAGACACTGAGACAAAAACTATACATCTTTCACTGGATTTCATACATTGGAATATTAGTAGTCTTTACTTGCTGGTGATCATACTTGGAGTGGAAGAAGGAAGGCAGTTGTAGTCAATAATAAGTAAACCTCAATGATTTAGAGAGCTTGAAAGAGCATTGTTTCTACTCTTTTGACAATAGAAGCCAGACTAACTGCAAATTTATAACTTTCTTTGAACCTCTCAGAGATGAAATTGCAGGGCAAAAATATGAAATCTAAGGAGATGCAGTTGCCTAAAAAGAAGTGACACAACACAAACATTTGCTTACCTGGGGCATATGGCATACCTAGGCACTGTTAAGAATTCAGCTAGAATTCTTAATAGTTAATAAATAGTTAAAAAATAAATTCTTAATAGTTAATACATTGGTCAAGGCCAAGTGTAGGCTGCTAGCCTGTGAGGGCAACTGATATAGGTGTTCTTACCCCCTTACAGGCTTTTTCTCCATGGCTCTTACCTGATGAGAGTACTCAGGAGCTTTTTTTGTACCAGAAACCTTGGGGAGAGAAACACAGCTATTTTGTGGGGAGGGGTCCATAAAACTCTGCCCCTACCCTAAGTAAAAGGAATCTGTAGACCCCTGCTTTATATAAAAGTTATCTTCAGAGGAATTTGAAACCTGCACTGCAAAAATCACCCTCAAATCCAGCCCAACTCCTCATTTAACACAAATCCCTAAAGGCCTATCAGAAAGAAAGTTATATGCATTTGTAAGCTTTAAAACTTCCTTAGTCTTTACTGCTCTGGACAAAATGTTCAGCTTTCAAGAAAACATTACAAAGTATATGAAAATGCAAGAAAAGGTACCACTCCAAGAGACAGAACAATCCAGAGAACCAGAATAAGATAAGACACAGATGTTGGAACTACCTAACAGAAAATTTAAAATAGTTACAATTTTTATGTTAAAAGTTCTGATGAGGCCAGGCGCAGTGGCTCACGCCCGTAATCCCAGCACTTTGGGAGGCTGAGGTGGGCAGATCACGAGGTCAGGAGATGGAGACCATCCTGGCTAACACGGTGAAAGCCGGCTCTACTAAAAATACAAAAAATTAGCCAGGCGTGGTGGCACGTGCCTGTAGTCACAGCTACTCAGGAAGGTAAGGCAGGAGAATTGCTTGAACCCGGGAGGCGGAGCTTGCAGTGAGCCGAGATCGTGCCACTGCACTCCAGCCTTCCAGCCTGGGTGACAAAGCGAGACTCCATCTCAAAAAAAAAAAAAAGTTCCGATGAAAAAGCATAATATGCAAGATTAGATGTTTAATTTTAGCAGAGATATGGAAACTATAAGAATTAATAAAATGAAAGTGCTAGAAATAAAAAGCAAAGTAACAGAGATGAAGACTGTCTTCAACAAGTTTATAGACTTGATATAACCAAGGAAAGAATCAGTGAAATTGAAGATAGAGCAATAGAAGTTACCCAAACTGAAACATAAGGAGAAAAAAACTGGGAAAAAAAAAAAAAAAAAATAGAACAAAGCATCCAGGAATTGGGAGACAAAATCAAACCATCTAACCATTGTATAATTAGTACTCACAAATCCACAAAGCTTAAAGGACACCATGCTGGATAAATTTCCACCACCTCACCCTCTCTTAAAAAACAAACACACACAGGCATAAAATATTAAAACTGAAAAAGACTGAAATACTGACCCTAGCAGCGGGGTAGAGAAAGTATTGTGGGGGAAACACACACCACATACAAGAAACAAATATTAGAGCAGCTTTTTCCTCAGAAGCCATTCAAGTCAGAAGATAATGGAATCGTGGTAACTTTAAAGTGCCACATGAAAAAACTGGAAACCACAAATTCTAACTCAGCAAAATATCTTTCAAAATGAAGTCAAGTCTTTCTCGGCTGGGCACAGTGGCTCACGCCTGCTATTCCAGCACTTTGGGAGGGCAAGGCGGGCAGATCACTTGAGGTCAGGAGTTCGAGATCCCCCTGGCCAACATGGTGAAACCCTGTTTCTACCAAAAATATAAAAAATTAGCCAGGTGTGGTGGCACACGCCTGTAATCGCAGCTGCTCAGGAGGCTGAGGCAGGAAAATCGCTTGAACCTGGTAGGCAGAGGTTACAGTGAGCCGAGATCATGCCACTGTACTCCAGCCCGGGAGACAGAGCAAGACTCCAACTCAAAAAAAAAAAAATCTTTCTTAAATAAAACAGAATTTATTGCCAGCAGACTTTATAAGATTGTTACAGGAAGTTCTTCAAACAGAAGAGCTATAATTACATATTAACACACATTTGAATGTTTACAAGCCAAATAACTTTCTGTTTATAATTTTAATACATAGCAATTATAAAAGTATTTCCATATTTTTGAATTCAAAGTTGAATTGTTATAAAATTGTGTGTGTAAAAAAAGTAGAATTATTATGAGGTTTATGTGTTGTTTGTTTCTTTGTTTTTTGAGACAGAGTCTCACTCTGTTGCCCAGGCTGGAGTGCAGTGGCACAATCTCAGCTCACTGCAAGCTCCGCCTCCCGGGTTCATGCCATTCTCCTGCCTCAGCCTCCCGAGTAGCTGGGACTACAGGTACCCACCACTTCGCCAGGCTAACTTTTTGTATTTTTAGTAGAGACAGGGGTTTCACCGTGTTAGCCAGGATGGTCTCGATCTCCTGACCTTGTGATCCTCCCACCTCAACCTCCTTATGTGTTTTTGAAAAGGAGGCTTCTGAAAACCTTAAATGTGTCATTGAAACTCAGTTCTACTATACTGGCCTCCCCAACAGGAAAGCCTATATTCATGGGAAGAAGTGCATGCATGGTTGTGGATATGGGTGCACATGACTATTTTTTAATGGGATATGGATTTGGTGGATTTTACCAATAAGTTGTTTCTAAGGATATATTTTAATTCTAATTTATCTTATCTGTCAAAAATCCAATAAATAGAAGAAAGTTAATAGAAAATTTTATCATCATAATCATTTAAGGACCATAGAAAATTAACTTTAATGTAGAAATTTCTTTTTCTCTTTTAGTGGAAATTAGATGTTGAAAACATCTGTAATAAGTTCAACTCTAGGAGGTTTCTTTTGTTCAGTAATATCATGGTTTTATTTAGCTGTTTTATCTCTTTCTTTTAAATTCTTATTTTTCCTTTAAATGTTTGCATTTGTTAATAACGATTCAGTGATGGCACATTCTCTAGGCTAAGAACACTTGCAGCATGTTGCCTGGAAAGAAATGGTGTAAAATTTGTTATTTTTGAACAAAAGTCAGAAAAATATGGGCCAACTTTACCTTTGAAAATATCCTTACTAATTTAATGATTTGAATGAAATCGAGATACAATAAAATCTTAATTTAAAATTTTTCCATCTCTGTTAATTCCTGAGGCAAACACAATAATCTATTCTAGTCTCTTCACCAGGTAGCTGTGTGACTAGTAAAACATTGAGGATTCTACTGGTAAAGAAAAAAAGCAAGCAAGGATGGTGGGGTAAATTTAGGTATTTCTGGCACGGATAGGGTAGAACAGAATTTGGCTACAAGGAATATCTGTTGTAAATCAATTATAAATTGTAAATCAATTGTAAATTGGATAAATCAGTTTGCAAATTATAAATATCAAATGTAAAATTTGGTTTCATTCTAACAATTCCATGTAATGAAGTTTTTTTTAATTACAAAAACCATTTTTATTACCAAAAACAGTTTTAGTTGGCATTTTATTACTTTTTAAAATAAATTCAAAGTTCAGTATTGGTATCTAATATGTAACATCAATATAAATAACATATAAATACGTGTCTTAAATTTGAAGATTTTGATATACTCCAGCAATTGAACATATTAAGTACCCAAGAAATGCCCATTTAAATTTGAAAATGTTCTGGTAAGCAAATTTCTTAATAATTAAAGTAGAGAGGATTTTTGTTTCATGATAGAATTGACTGCTTGTAGAACAAAGACCACAGTAGACTACTACAGTATGATAGTTTTGCAGAATACAAAGATTGCTGTGGAGTAATCTTTCCACATGCTGCAGAGAGAAGGGTATTTTCTAGTAATCTTCTCTGCAACTTTCAGCTGTAAAATGAACCTTTTTAAACAAATAAAAAACACCAGAGAAACCAAATGTTCCTTAATTATTCACCTTGAAGAATTTGGAATAATTTCTTCAGTTTAGCAAAATACATTGCCCATGATTACCATATGTATTAGGGCTTTCATGGATTAAAATACCATCTTTGGAAAATGACTTCAAGAGGTATTTTTCAATGTCCCTTATTTTGTCATGGCATTTCTTTGATTTAGCATCCAATAATGCATTTTAAAAGCATCCATCAGCATTTTAAAATTTGTTTCTGTAGGTCAGTGTTGACATTTCCCTTTGAAAAAAAAGAAGAAATGAGGGAATGGGAGGAATAGGCAACATGCAAGTTGATAGACTGATAAACATATATTTCTAACCTCTTTAATGACTATACAGTTCCTGGTCCCTTAAGTTTTTACATAACAGAGCTGCCTGCCCTGGTTTATATGGAATGTTTCAATCAGAAGCTTCTACTAGTTTCAAAAGTAGAAATATGGAAAAGTTAGAAGCTGTTAGAAATTTTCTGATCTAGGAATGAAGGAGAAAAATAGGATGTTTGGTTGGCTTCTGGCCATGAGATTAGCAGAGAGGAGAAAAATATGCTTTTGAGAATTGTTTTTTTAAATGGGAACCTGTACAAGGAATCTCTTTAAGTCTAAGTACAGTCATATAATTTTTATATTGCTAGAATTATATGAAATACGGTTACTACATTTATTACAAACCAAACTATTCCAGATAGCTTCACTTAAATCTCTTTTAAAATTGTGATTTTATCTTTTCCCATATACAGTTCATTAGTTTTTAGTGTATATGTGGCGTTATCCTTTTAACCTGTGTTTATGATGATGATAATGATTTTTATACTTCTTGTGCTCCCTGTAATAGGTTTTATGGTAAACATTTTATGTGAATTATCTCACTTAACTCTCAGAATAAGAGAGGTTACTGTCAAACTCATTCTATACGTGAGGATATTGAGGCCCAGGGAGGTTTTTATTTTTCCCAAGATCACATCTTTAGAAAGTTACTAAACTAGAACTTAAATGTGTTACTGAATACTGGTTCATGCCTGTATGACACACTCAGAGAGCAAGGGTAAATAACTTGTGTTATGAGATTCAGTCGCTTTTCTCCATAAAGGTTTCACTTACCACATAACCTTCTTATATGGGGAAAGAAAAAAGATCTCTTGCTAGGCAAAAGTAATTGGCAAAGTATTCTTCTCTTGTTTTGTATTTTTTATGGCTACATAGTAGTTGTACATATTTATAGGGTACATATAATATTTGTTAAAAGCATACACTGTGTAATGATCAAATCAGGAGAATTGCAGTATCCATCGCCTCAAACATTTGTCACTTTTTTGCATTGAGAACATTCCAAATCTACTTCTCTAGTTATTTTGAAATATACGATAAATTATTATTAACTATAGTTTCCCTGTTGTGCCACCAAACACTAGGTCTTATTACTACTATCTAACTGTATTTTTGTACCCATTAACCAACCCCTTTTTATCCTACCCTCCCTCCCAACCCCTATACACACCCTTCCTATCCTCTGGTAACTGTTATTCTACTCTCCTACCTCCATGAGATCAACTTTTTTAGCTCCCACGTATGAATGAGAACATGCAGTATTTGTCTTTCTGTACCTGGCTTATTTCACTTAATATAATGCCTTCTAGTACTATCCATGTTGTTGCAAGTGACAAGATTTTATTCTTTGTTATGGTGAAATAATATTCCATTGTTTATGTGTACCATATTTTTTCTTTATCCATTCATCTGTTGATGGGCACTTAGGTCAATGCCATATCTTGACTATTGTGAATAGTGCTGTAATAAACACTGGAGTACAGATACCTTTCCAATATACTGATTTCCTTTCTTTTGGGTATATACCCAGCAGTGAGATTGCTGGTAATAAACACAGGAGTGCAGATACCTTTCCAATATACTGATTTCCTTTTTTTTGGATATATACCCAGATTGCTGGACTGTTGGGAACAGGCCCCCAAATCTGGCCCCAAAACTGGTCATAAACAAAATCTCTGCAGCACTGTGACATGTTCGTGATGGCCATGACGCCCACGCTGAAGGTCATGGGTTTACCAGAACGAGGGCAAGGAAAACCTGGCCCACCCAGGGCAGAAAATGGCTTAAAGGCATTCCTGAGCCACAAACAATAGCGTGAGGGATCTATGCCTTAAGGACATGTTTCTGCTGCAGATAACTAGCCAGAGCCTATCCCTTTATTTTGGCCCATCCCATTGTTCCCCTAAGAATACTTTTAGTTAATCTGAAATCTATAGAAACAATGCTTATCACTGGCTTGCTGTCAATAAATATGTGGGTAAATCTCTGTTCGAGGCTCTCAGCTCTGAAGGCTGTGAGACCCCCGATTTCCTACTCCACATGCCATATTTCTGTGTGTGTGTCTTTAATTCCTCTAGCACAGCTGGGTTAGGGTCTCTATGACCAAGCTGGTCTTGGCACTGGACAATATAGTATTTCTATTTTTGGTTTTTTGAGGAACATCCATACTGTTTTCCATAGTAGCTTACTAATTTACCTTCTAACTGTGTATGAATATTCTCCTTTCTCCACATCCTCCGTAGCATCCATTATTTTTTGTCTTTTTGATAAAAGCTATTTTAACTGGGGTGAGATGATTTCTCACTGTGGTTTTGATTTCTATTTCTCTGATGAGTAGTGATGTTGAGGATTGTTTTCTATACCCGTTGGTCATTTGCATGTCTTCTTTTGAGAAATGTCTGTTAAGATCTTTTGCCTGTTTTTTAATCCAATTATTTGTTACTTTGCTATTGAATTGTTTGAATTGCTTATATATTCTTGTCATTAATCTCTTGTCAGTTGAATAGTGTGCATATATTTTCTCCTGTTCTTCAGATTGTCTCTTTGTTGATTGTTTTCTTTGCTGTGCAGAAGCTTTTTAGCTTGACATGATCCCATTTGTCCATTTTTGCTTTGGTTTCTTGTGCTTTTGAAGTCTTATTCAAGAAATCTTTGTCCAGATTAGTGTCCTGAAGCATTTCCCCAATGTTTTCTTCTAGTAGTTTCACAGTTTCAGGTATTATATTTAAGTCTTTAATCCATTTTGATTTTTGTATATGTTGAGAGACAGCTGTCTAGTTTAATTCTTCTGCATAAGGTTATCCAGTTTTCCCAGCACCATTTGTAGACGACACTGTTCTTTCCTCAATGTTTGTTCTTGGCACTTATTGAAGCTGAGTTGGTTGTAAATGTGTGGATTTATAGTCGGGTTCCTTGTTCTCTTTCATTGCTCTATGTGTCTGTTTTTATGCCCCTACCATGGTATTTTGGTTACTATAGGTTTCTAGTATACTTTGGAGTCAGGAAGTATGATTTGCTCTAGTTTTGTTCTTTTTGCTCATGATTGCTTTAGGTATTCTGGATCTTTTGTGGTTCCATATAAATGTTAGGAGTTTTTTTTCTATTTCTGTGAAGAATGTCATTGATATTTTGGTAGGGATTGCACTGAATGTGGGTGATGTGGTCATTTTTACAATAATTAATTCTTTCAAGCCATGAACATAGGATATCTTTCCATGTTTTTGTGTACTCTTCAATTTCTCTGTGTATGTTCATATAGCCTCTTTTCAAGCTCACCAATTCTTCTTCTGCCTGATCAGTTCTGCTGTTGAGACACTGATGTATTTTTCAGTTTGTCAATTGAATTTTTTAGCCAGGAATTCTGTTTCATTTATTTTAAAAATTATATGAATCTCTTTCTTAAAGTTGTCTGATAGAATTCCTTCTCTGTGTTATCTTGAAGTTTGTTGAGCTTCATGAAGACAGCTGTTTTGAATTTCCTGTCTGAGGTCACATGTCTTCATCACTCCAGGATTGGTCACTGGTGCCCTATTTAGTCTGTTTGGTGAGGTCATGTTTTCCTAGTTGTTCTTGATGCTTATGGACATTCATCATTGTCTGGGCATTTAAGTGTTAGATATTTATTTCTGTCTTTGTGTTATGGCCTTGTTTGTACCTGTCCTTCTTGAGTGGACTTTGAAGACTTCAAATATAATTGAGTGTTGTTACCATAGCTGTAGCTACTACAGCCATTTTAGCATTACCAGGTGCCCTAACCCAGGTATGCTGTGACCCCTACAGACCCTTAGATATATAGCCTTGGTGGAGTTGGGCAAGGTAAGACAGAATTCCCTGAGTTCCCAGGCAGAGTCTCTTGCTCTTCCCACTCTTTCCCCCAAGTGGAAGGGGTCTTTATGCTTGGCTGCCTTGAGTTGGGGGAGGGGTGATACCTGCAGTCCTGTGGTCGGCACAGTTGACTGCATTAGAACACCATGAAAGCCTGAGGCCTTCCAGATCAGTGCAGCTTCCACCGGGGGTCACCCAAGGCCCATGGCCACCACCATGTGGCTGCTGCTGATGTTTATTCAAGGCTGGAGGCCACATATCAAGTGGTGAGTTCTGCTGGGAGTCAGTTTATCCCACCAGGGTTGTAGATTCCCTTCTGGCCCTGGGTGGGTCAAGAAACACCATTCAAGAGCAAAGACCTGCAACTGAAGGCTTTAGGATTCTCCTTGTTTTTTGGGTTTTTGGATTTTACTGTGGCTGAGCTTGTATTCATTTGCAAGACAAAGTCTTACGTATTTTTTCCTCTCTTTCCCACAAGTGGAAGGAGTCTCTGCACTGCGTTGCCTGGAGTTGGGGGAGAGGCGATGCATGTACTCTTGTCATCGCTGAAGCCAGTGTCGTGCTGGATTGCATTCCAAGCCCAGTCTCTGATGCCAGTGCAGCACTGGGGCTTGCCCAAGTACTATAGTTGCTGTGGCCCAACTGCCACTCAAATTTATTAGAGGCCCAGGCCACTTTATTCCATAGTTGCTGAAGTAGGCTGAGACTTGGCTTTCTCCTCCTGGCGATGGATGCTTTCCCTCTGCCCCAGGGATGGTCTGTTTGCCCCCTCTGTGAGCACTGGCAGAATTCTGTCCAGTGTTGTGTTCCACTGTGATAGGGCAGCACTGAGTTCCAATGCAGTATCCCACACTCACTTCACTCTTGCTCTTCCAAACACATAGATTCTCAGTGCTATGACGCCTGGGTTTGGGGGAGGAATGTTGTAGGTAATGCAAGGTTACCTAGCTTATCCTTCCTACCCTTTTAAATGCCTCTCCCTTTGTTATTATGTTAAAGTTAGATACTGTGATTGCACACCTGATTTTTTTGTTTTTAAAATAGTGTTTTCTTGTGTTGATAGTTGTTTAATTTGGTGTTCCTGCATGGGGGATGATTGCTGGAGGGTTCTATTTGGTCATCTTGCTTTGCCCTTGTCTAAAGTCAAATCTTAATTACAAACATGTATTTTTTTTTCTTTGCATTCTACAGATAGGGAAGCCTGAATGATAGATAAATATATTAATAAAAGATTTGCAAAATTACGAAAATGTGACATTTTGACATTGAGAAAATCTTGACATTAAAATCAATATTTTAGTTACGTCATCTGCCTATGAAGCCTTATCTTTAGCTTCTATCCTCAGTAATTCTTCACAGCAGTAAACTTTCTTTATTGCTAGACTAAACTATTTATGTGCAAGTAAAATATTGGGTAAAAATAATTAGGTAATTTGGTATTTAATGAAGTTGTTCATTTCTTCAGTATTATTCAAAGGCCTGTCACATTTTATGGTAAATATTGATTAAAAGACTAAGTAGAATTTGTGTTTGTTGCTCATCTTAATACCTTGGTACCTGGATATCTGAAACTCATGGTAGTATATTAAACTCTTGGATTGTGAGGCCGTGTTTTAGTACACCTTTCGTAACTATTGTCTGGCCAGCAGTTTCAAAATGTAATAGCTGCACTGGCCATTGATGCTGGTGGAGGTGAGGTAGTTGCTAGAACAGTTGATTCACTCTGCCAAGAACAAACAAATAATGGCATAAAAAAACAAATTATAGTTGTAAAGAAGTGAATATGACCATATGAATGGTTAAGAAAGCTTATAATAGTTACAAAGGTTAGAGATTTAAAACTCCAAGCAGAATTTGGGCATTAAGTATATAAAATCAATGAGGAACACAAAGCTGTAACATGATTGGTGGAACCTTTTTTTAAAGCCAGAGTGATACAGGCAAAGAAGTGACAAGGCTGTGTACTTGATTATTTTGAAAGCTGCTGTGTCCCATAACTATGCTGTTAAATTTAACTGTAGCACCCAGCTGCTATCTGTATACTTCACTTCTTTATGGAATCGATTCATTCAAAATCTTGGCAGGAGATCCATAAGTGCTAAACTATTCAAATAATTCTCTTGCTTTCTATTTCTCTTTCCTAGAATTTGTTTCCATAAGATTGTAAAAGCAAAACTCAGATCACTTAACAGCTTTTTTCTTTTCTTCCCCCCCTTTTAAAATTTAACAGTTATTAAATCCTCAGTTGCAGATTGAGATTATTTAAAGTAATCCTTAAACTGTCATAATTGCCTTTCCAGTTAAATTAAAATCTGGACAATTTCTCTAAGTGTGGGTGGTTGGCCACTTAGTATTATCTGGGAAGTTAGTTTACAAGGTAGATTCCTAAGTTCTATCCCAGGTCTGTAAAATTAGACTATCTCAAAGTGGGGCTCTGGAATCTATATTTTTTTACAAACTTTTGGGGCAATTCTTAGGCACCCTTAATTTTTGGAGTATCTGTACTTAGAAGAAACTGTAAAGAATTGCTAATTTTGGTATCCTAAATGTCATCAAATCTGTATATCTGATTCTTTTCTAAAATCTGGCCCAAATAGAGTCACATTTCTCATTTGACTATAGGTTCAGAATTTAACAAACTTAGTAAAGTACTCCTGGAACGAACTTTAGAAATAATTGATTCCAAACTTAGATACTGAGTTCCTAATGTTGTGCACTTGTAAACAATAAGCTCTGCAGTATAACCAAGGTTTCTTCAATTATTTCAGTTCTCTCCATTGTAGGCTATTTCCAGAAATTCAGTTCTTTGAAACATTTTTATTTCAACCTGGGCAACATAGTGAGACCCCTTCTCTACAAAAAATTAAAAAACTAGCTGTGTGTGGTGGCATGTGCCTATAGTCTCAGATGCTTGGGAGGCTGAGGTGGGAGGATCACTTGAACCTGGGAGGTCAAGGCTAAAGTGATCCGTGATCATGCTGAGAGGTGAAGCCAGCTGGACTTCCTGGGTTGAGTGGGGACTTGGAAAACTTTTCTGTCTTACAAGAGGTTTGTAAAATGCATCAATCAGTGCTGTGTAAAAAGGGTACCAATTGGCACTCTGTAGCTAGCTAGAGATTGGTAAAATGCACCAATCAGCACCCTGTAAAATGGACCAATCAGCACCCTGTAAAATGGACCAATCAGCACCCTATAAAATGGACCAATCAGCACTCTGTAAAATGGACCAATCAGCAGGACATGGGCGGGGACAAATAAGGGAATAAAAGCTGGCCACCCCAGCCAGCTGCAGCAAGCTGCTCCAGTCCCCTTCCACAACGTGGAACCTTTGTTCTTTCACTCTTCGCAATAAATCTTGCTGCAGCTCACTCTTTGAGTCTGTGCCACCTTTTTTTTTTTTGAGATGGGGGCTCGCTCTGTTGCCCAGGCTGGAGTGCAGTGGCGTGATCTCGGCTCACTGCAAGCTCCGCCTCCCAGGTTCAAGTGATTCTCCTGCCTCAGCCTCCTGAGTAGCTGGGACTACAGGCGCCCACCACCATGCCCGGCTAATTTTTTTTGTATTTTTAGTAGAGATGGGGTTTCACCATGTTAGCCAGGATGGTCTCGACCTCCTGACCTCGTGATCCACCCGCCTTGGCCTCCCAAAGCCACTGCACCTGGCTGGGTCTGTGCCACCTTTAAGAGCTGTAACACTGCAAAGTTCCACAGCTTCATTCTTGAAGTCAGAGAGACCAGGAACCCACTGGAAGGAACCAACTCCAGACATATCTTGGGGGCTTGTCTGGGATATTGCCAAGTGGTGAGTACTATGGGACCCCTTTTGCTTGCTATTCTGTCCTATTTTTCCTTAGAATTTGGGGGCTAAACACTGGGCACCCATTGGCCAGTTAAAAGTGACTAGCACGGCCACTGGACTAAAGACATGGGTATCAGGCTTTCTGGGAAAAGGCTAACAACCCCTGACTCTTTGGAGTTGGGAGCATTGGTTTGCCTGGAATTAGCTTCTGCTTTTGCTGTTCTTCCGGGCTGAGCCGAGGGTTGACAGGGAGGAAAGCCATTCAGCTCTGAGGTCCCGACAAAAGTTTCGTTGACCCTGCAGCCATGAGCAGAGCTCTCAAAGTTAAGTCGCCCAAGCGCAACTCGACCATCTATCCTGTATATCCTGACCCTTGCCTCATGGGTCCTAACGCCTGTCAGACAAACTTCCTCCCACCTCTCTTCTCCAAGGCTAGTCTCGCTTCTAAAAACCACTCCCTGTCTCTGGTGCTTTTCTAGTTTCTCCTATAAGAATGATTTCTAGTATAAATTTCAGGACTCTGTTCCTTTAGGCACCCAGGCCCACCAATCAGAAAGACATAATTTTTGCCCAAAGCCCCATCGGGGGTGGGGAGACTATCTGGAATTTTAGGATCCCCCCTCAGGCAAGCAGGCCTAACAAAAGCTATTCCTGAAGCTAGGATGTGGGGAGCCTCAGAAATTATATCCTTCCTATTCATATGACGAGAAGTGAGGACAAAAGGCGTCACTCTTCCAAAACCACCTCTGGACACAATGCCACTGCATTCCTGTCTGGGCAACAGAACAAGACCTTGTCAATCAATAAAATAAAATAAAATAAAACTTTGTTTTCCTCAAATGAGTGTTTTGAACTTAGGACTTTCTGGAATTTGGTAACTGCCAGTTTTGTGCTTCCATTTAGACAAACAAATCTCCCCAAAAAGTGCTTTTCCTATATTGAGTTTGTGATTTGGTTTCATGGCTATAAGAGAAGTGTCATATTATTGCATATCTTATTTAAGACTATACACTTCAACAATTTCTACCTGTGATTTATGGAATTAATAAATTCAGGGAAATGATAAAGTACAGTTCTTAGAACAGTCTTCAGCAAAACTACTCCATCACTTTTAGGAGTCAGTGAATCTCTAGAGCAATTTGAGATAAACACTGTGAAACTTTGGTGCAGACCCTTTTGACTTTGGTGCATCTTGTCAGTACCCTATGTGACTCAGAAAAATGTTTTAAGAGTCATTTGAATCAACATTTACATAAACACGAAATCTTTCTGTAGAGATTTTAGATAGAGGCAAATAAGACTGAGTCTCTGGGCTGACTTCCTCATAGTCTTAAACCAGTGCAACTCTATCCATGAAACAAAATATTCTAATAATAGGATAGACATTTTCGTATTGTATAGACAGTAACAGAAATAGTCGTTTTTCCTCCAGTCACTCCCCATCTAATTCGGAATAAATGCATTCATTACAAAGACTTATGAGATCCTCCAGGCTCAGGCCTTCTGCTCCCTCATTGCCTTTGTCTTCTGATCTTCCTCTTGCTCACTTTGTTGCAGCCACACCTGCTACACTTCCCTTGAGCTTCTGCCTTGGAGCCTTCATACCTTCTGTTCCTTTTGTCTGGAACATTCATACCCTAGGTATCTGAATGGCTTAGTCTATTACTCCCTTCTGGTCTCTGAATGTTACCTTACCAAACAGACTGTTTTTGAGCATTTGTATAATATAGCAACCTCCCCCAACACTTAGTTCCACTTATTCTCCTTAACCTGCTTTGTTTTTGTAAGACTTCTTAGTATATTTATGTGTATTCTTCTGATTTTGAATTTTTACTATCATTTCAAAATATAACACTTAATATATACAAAAGAATATATGTAACTTTAATATATTAATGAGTAATTAAAACATTACAAGTGTGAGGATATAATGAAACCCATGAACCAATAACTTAACCCAAGAATTAAGATATTACCATAACTTGCATCGACTTATGTGATTTTCTTCTATCCAGTCTCCCTCCCGTTCTGCTGAAGTCCCCACCATTCTGTTTTGTTTAAAACTCTTTTTGTGGTTTTACATATTTTTTAGTAGTTCTATTACGTGCATGCATTCTTTCAATCTCTCACACATGCATTTGTGCCCAAAAACATATTGTTTTGCTTATTTTTCGAACATTATAAAGCAGTGTTGCAAGGGATGTCCTAGGATTTGCTTTTTTCCTTCAGCTTTGTCTGAGATTCATTATTGTGGTTGGTTTGGCTGTTGTTTCATTCTTTATTGTTATTGTACAATATTTCATTATGTAAATATAACACAATTTGTGTATCCATTCTCCTATTGATGGACATTTGGGTTACTCCAGTTTTTTTTTTGGCTATTGAAACAGTGCCACTAGGAACGTTTGTGGCTATGTCTCCCTACTGCATAAGCTCAAGAGTTTCTCTAGAGTATATGCTTAGGAATAGAATTGTTATGTCAAATTGTTTTTAGTGGTTGTACTAATTCACTATTGTGCGAACAGTATGTAATATCTGCATCCTTTTAATCCTACTAGTACTTGGTATTTTGGGATGCCTTTATTGTTGCCAGTCTGGTGGGTTAAAGTGGTACTTCATTGTGATCTTGATTCACATTTTTTATTGCTGTGGAGACAGTATGCATCTTTCCATGTGTTCTTCAGCCACTCCTGCTTTTTCTATTGGAAAAACAGCAATAAGGCTGATGTGGCTGAAGCACAGTGAGGGAGAAGGGGAGTGGTGGGACATGAGGATGGGAGGTAGCTGGGGTGGAGGTGGACTAGGTCATAAGTCTTGTGAGCCATGAAAGTAAATAGATTACTCTGGCAGAGTATGTTTTCTAGAAAATAGACTACTGGGGAGTAAGACTTAAAGCAAAGAGAGATGTTAGAAAACAGTTGCAGTAGCTAATGCTGTTGCTCAAAATGGTAGCAGGTTTGGGGAGGCAATTGTTATTAATAAAATTTCTGATTAGCTTTAGTTCTGTAAAAGTTATATATGTTTTTGTATAAGAGCTACGTATTTCTATGTGCTAGCTACATATTCACTTATTTTCTTCTAAACATACTTTGAAGTTCCAGAATTGTATTATTTTTTCATAGTTTCAATAGCAATTTCATGGCAAAATTTTAAAAACCTGTTAGATTTATTCTTAAAATGTAATGATGACTTTTCTATTGCCAAAGATTTGAAGATTAATTGCTAGTGTAATAATTTTAGCATAATTGCATCGAATGGCTTTTATGAACCCAGCAGCTGTGGTTACTCATATTCAGCAGCTGTGGTTATCCTGACTCAAATGGTTTTTCATCAGTTATTAGAAAAGTCACAAGTTCTTGGTAAATTCATTTCTGAAATCGGAAAGCTTAAGTTTCCATTTTTTCTCAGATATACTCTATTTGAATATATTATCCCATATTTCAAGAGCATATTTTTAGCCACAACTTAGCCAATGGCAACATCAGCAAAAAGAGATAATGTATTTGTACTTTTATACACAGTGTAATAACTTCTGATTTCTAATTGTAGGCAAATCTGAATTTGAATACTTTTCATATTTTGAGTTCTAAGACCGTTAGACAAAAGCAAGTTGACTGAAGGATATCACCAGTCTGTTTCATTTTGTAATGTACATAATGATGTTATATTTTTCCTTTTTAATATTTATGTAGAAATAATGTATTTACTAATATCATAGACTTGATTTTCAAACTTTTATTAGGTTATTATTTAGTAAGATATGAAAGTGTCTTTTTGAAAATGCAGTTAAAGGGAAAGAACTATGTACTTATCTTTCCTTTGTGAATTATATTTCAAGATAACAAAAGAAAAGTTGATACAACTCTTCCTTATTGAATAATTCTAGATAATAAATATGGCAGGAATGATGGAATTTGAAAAATCATTATTTCACAAACTCTAATAAAATAATTGGTTCAGACAATTATTATCAAAGGTTGAATCCATTAGATGGAAGGTTGATGGGGGTGTTTGCAAGAGAAGGATAAGCTGTCACCACCTGTACCCTGTGATCAATCTTTGCATCACAAAGAGGAGGCATTCAGACACTATGTGCCTCCTAATGTGATGAAATATGAAGAACAATTTCCAAAAGTATTCTTTCAAAAAGAGTAAACCTGAACCTAATCAAGTTTTAGAACTAATTTACCATTAACAGGAAACACAGGTATAAAAGAACAAGTTAAATGACAACACTGGAACCAGAATGTGGGACAGTTTGCAAGATAACGAACTCAGTTTAATCAATAGGTTAATGGCAGGCAAAAGAGGCAAGCGAGAAGGGCTTCTCTATATTAATAAGACTTATAATACATAACAATTTATGACCTTTCTGTGAATCCTGATTTAAATAATTCAATTAAAACAAATTTTGAGACTGTCAGAGAAATTTAAATATGGACTGGGTATTATGTGATGCCAATTAATTTTTGTTTCTTGGGAGAAGTAATGGCATTATAGTAGTTATATCATTTTTTTTTTCTTTAGAGATACATACTGAGTATGTAGGAATTAAATAACACGTGGTCTGGGATTTGTTTTAAAACGCTTAAGGAATAAAAACAAGAGGGAGATGAATGAAGCAAGTGCTGGAAAGTGTTGACAGTTGTTGAATCTACATTGTGGGTATCTTTGGGTTTCTTTGAAAATGTTCATAATAAAAATCAGTTTTTGTGTATCTTTGAAAATGTTCATAGTAAAATTAATATTTAAAAGTTTTTAAAATGTCGTGGATATTTACATGTATGTTCTTGACCTTGTCACCCACCTTTTAGTACTTTCTTTTACACAGCTATTAGCACTTTTCTCCAAAAAAGTCTTGCGGGGGAGGCAGCATCCCCTATTACTGCAGTGTTGAAAATGGCAACCACTTTTCAAGTCCCCCTCACAGTTAGAGAACAGTCATGCCAGGCACCAACCCCAGTTTCTGGATAGGGAACTAGTGAATCAAAGAGGCAGTTTCTTTGCTCTCTTGAAAGGCAGTGGCAAACTAACCTACACTGAGAAAAAGGAAGTCGGTGATTGCCTAGTGATAGGGGAGGAAAGATTAGACGGGGGAGGGATTGCGAAGTACTAAGAGGTAATTTTCGAGGTGATGAAAAATGTTTATTATTTAACACTAATTAGCAAATTCTAATTCCTGGTAACATCCAGAGCTGAAGGCAAAGGTGATAGAAAAGCCATAGCTTCTGTGTTCAGTGGCACTATCAGGTTTTCCTTTCCTTTTTCCACCAGAATAACCAGTGTTTAACTGACCCTAGCCCAATTTTTGACTTTCCTGATAATTCTGTAAACTACCTAACATTGTTTTAGTAATTATCTTTTTTTACTTTTTACAGCTTTATTGGGGTTAATTAGCATTCAGTAAACAGCACATATTTAGTGTGTATATTTTGGTAATTTTTGAAATATGCATATACTTTTGAGGCTATCGCCACAACAAGATAGTGAACATCCCCATTACCCCCAAAAGTTTTCTCTCAGCACTCCCTCCTCTTTCTTCTGCCCTATTCCCAGGCAACCACTGATTTCTTTTTTATCAGTATGGATTAGTTTGCATTGTCTAGAGTTTTATATAAAAGGACAATACAGTTAAGTGTTCGGTTTTCTTTATGGCTTCTTTCTCACTCAGTGTAATTATCATAAGATTCATCTGTGTTATGTATATTAGGAGCTTTTCCTTTTTATTGCTAAATAGTATTCCATTTTATGAATATACCACAATTTGTTTATCCATTTAGTCATTGAAGATATTAGTTTGTTTCCATTTTGGGGCTCTGATATGGTTTGGCTGTGCCCTCACCCAAATCTCATCTTGAATTCTAGTTCCCATATCCCCCATGTGTCAAGGGAGGGACCTCATGGGAGGTGATTAGATTATGGGAGGCAGTTTCCCCCAGGCTGTTCTCATGATAGTGAGTTCTCACGAGATCTGATGGTTTTATAAGGGGCTTTCCCCCACATTGCTCTGCACTTCTCTCTCCTACTCCATGTGAAGAAGGACATGTTTGCTTCCCCTTCCACCATGATTGTAAGTTTCCTGAGGCCTCCTCAGTCATGCAGAACTGTGAGTCAGTTAAATCTCTTTCGTTTATAAATTACCCAGTCTCGGGTATTTCTTTATAGCAGCGTGAGAATGGATTAATGCAGGCTTCTACATTAAGCTGCTGTGAATATTTAAACATTGATTTTATATCTTCATATGAACATATTCTTTTATTTCCCTTGACCAAATACCTAGTAGTGGAATGGCTAGATTATATGACAGGCATATGTTTAATCTTTTAATTAACTGCAAAACTGTTTTCAAATGTGATATATAATAGATATTATTTTAAAAAATAAATAGATGAATGTATTAGGAAAGATGAGGTCTTACATGTATTTCGTTGTGTATATACATGATATAGTGCATTTATATGTTCCGTGTGTCTTATTTGTATTTTGATAAATAACAAAAGTATATTTTTACTATCAGTAGGTAGGATTGTTAGAGCCACTAATTATTCAGGGTGCGACAAAGTATCATCTCAAGGCAGATACAGCATTTCATATAGTAATTAATACCAGATCTTATTTAGTATTAACCAGTTATGCACAAAATATGAATATATGTGATTTATAATGAAGTGTCAGCCTAGTACTGCAAATAATATAGCTCAGTATTTGAAAACTGATAGATTCACTGTGTGAGTATGAATTTATAATAAATACACTTCGGTGACAGGTTCATTCTCAATTTGCTTATGTTAAAATTGCACTAACTAGCAGATCCTCTGAGATTTATTTCCAGGCTTTTAATGTCATATTACCTTGAAAAATGATGATGTGAGTTCTTAACATGGTAGGGGTGCCTGTACATTTCACTTTTGATCTTGAGTGAAATCTCATCTCACAAATCACCAACATAAATTACAATTTGGTCTTGTGTGTGACTGGCATAAATATATTTTAGAGACATGAGAAATACAAAGAAAAGTTTTCCCGCCTCCCCCTTTATCCTGCATATGTTAACATTAGAAAGATAAACCACTGCATATTCTCCTGTCTCATTTTAACATGTTGGTATGTAGTTTTGGGGGGATATGGATTCTTATGTATGCAGGGAAATTTTATATGGTTTGATACATCTTGATGTGTTTGGTGACACAGTTGAACATCATCATTGTACATGGCCAAGCATGCACAGGGAGCATGAAACTATTAAGGGGTGATGAGAATATTGCCTAAGTATATTTTTGAGGCCCCCAAATCATTAAAATAGAATATTTGGGCTGAAGTTAAAAATATAATATTGTTTAATGAATTTCTATTCATTTCAAAAACAGAAGATACATATTGTAAATATAAAAAGTATTATAAATTGTTTTTTTCTGCAAATTGTAATATCTGAGAAAACTGATGATTTAGTATTTTTCCTTTATAATTCTTAGACATTTAATTGTCTTTATTTGTCTTCTTGGGATAGGTAGATCCATATGTGCAGTGTTGAATAAACATAGAGCTAGTTGGCATCCTTACCTTGCTATGAGTTTAAAGGGAATGGTTTTTAACATTTTATTATTATGATATTTGCTTCATTTTATAGATACCATTTATCAGGTTGTATTAGTTGGCTTGGCCTGCTATAACAAAATACCACAAATTGAGTGGCTTAAACAACAGAAATTTATTTTCTCACAGTTTTGGGGGCTAGAAGTCTGAAATCAGGGTACAGCATACTCAATTTCTGGTGAGGCTGCTCTTCCAGGCTTGTAGACAGCTGCCTTCTTTCTGGGTCCTCACATGTCCTTTCCTTTGTACATGTGCACAGAGAGTGAATGAGTGAGGTCTCCAGTGTCTCTTCTTCCAGGGACTCAAATCCTATCAGATCAGGCCCCGAACCCCTATGACCTCATTTACCCTTAATTACCTCCTTGGAGGCCACTTCTCCAAACACAGCCATAATGGGAGTTAGGGCCTCAACAGATGGATTTTAGTCCATAAATTAAGTCCATATTTATGGACATTTAGTCCATAAATTAAAGAAGTTTTCTAATATTCCCAGTGCTTCCCTTAGTCTTCACTTTACAGCAAACTATCCCAAAACTTAGTGACTTGAAGTAATAATGTTTTCTGCTTTTTAAATGATTCTGTGGGTTGGCTGGATTATTCCTTTTTAGTTTCACTTAAGCTTACATGTAAGGTTGCCTTTATTTGGAGAGTTGACTGGGCTGGAAGGTTCAAAATGTCCTTACTCATGTTTGTAGACGGTGCTGGCTATTAGCTAGGGTGACTTGATTCTTGATGTGGCCTTTTGTCTACCAGATGCTAGCATGGTATATCAGGGTTAAGTCCGGAAAGTAAACTGCATGTCCTTTTGAAGTCTAGGCTTTGTAAATTACATATTGTTTTTGCCGTATTCTGTTAGTCAAAGCAAATCCAGTCCAGATTCAAGATGGTGGGGAAGTAGATATCTCTTGATATGGGAGGAGAAGAACATTACATTGCAAAGGATGTGATTGCAGGAACGCATCATTTATCGAAGGCTATTATTATAACAATCTCCCAAATCTTTGCTAAGTTTGCTAGGGGTAATTTGTTAAGAATTTATTGATGAATTTTATTGTCCGTGTTTCCTCTAAATATTGAGAAGATTATATATTTTTTCTCCTTAATTTATGTGATGAAATATAGTTTCTATGGTTGAACCATATATTCAGTGTCATCCTGTATATCTTTTTAAAAATGTTTGATGTTTATTTCTTGAATCTGTGTTCAGGAGTAAGACTGGTCTTTGAATTTACATTTTCTTTGGTATTAAATTTTTACTAGCCTTTGTAACATTATTTGGAAAATGTTGCCTCATTTTTCTAGTCTCTGAAAAAATTATTTGTTTTAAAGAATGCTAATAGAACTTAACATGTAAACTGTTGGTGCCTGAGATTTACTTTGAGATAGTATTTTTAACTTCTAATTTAATTTTTTGACCAACTATAGCCCCACTTAGAAAAACTCCACCATTCTTGAGATTGTTTTATTAATTTACATATTCCTAAGAATTTCTCTATTAGCCAAATTTGCAACTTTGTATGGTATAAAGTTTAAAATAATCTCATGGCATCTTTTAGTATTTTCTGTATCTGTAATTTCCTTTAAAAGTAGAATTTTAAAATAAAATTTTTCCATTTTTAATTTTACCATTAGCTATCTACCATTTAATCTGGTAAGAAATCTCTTAATTTTATTAGTCTTTTCAGTGAACCAACTTTTGGCTTTTTAAAAACTCTGATCTCTTTTGTATCTGTTTTCTATTTAAATTTTGTTTCCCCTTATTGTTATATATAGCTTTCATCTATATTCTTAACTGTGTAATTTATAAGTTTTACTCAATTTTTAGCATTGCTTCTTTTTAACATAAGATTTGCTACTATAATATTCCTCCAGAATCTCATTAACTGCCCATTCACTATTCTATAAATTTTGATATATGGGTTTTTCATGAACACAGTATTTTAAATTTTTATTAAAATTACTTACTTGACCTTGAGTTATTTAGAAATGTGTTTTCATATTTCCAAGTGTAGGGGGTTAATTTTGGTAACATTTTACCAATTTCTAACAATTACATTGTTGTCAGATATGATCTGTGTGATATCAACTCTTAAATTTGCTAAGACTAGCTTTATGGCCTAATACGTGGCTGATGTTCTTAAATGTTCTCTGTGTGCTTGAAAGAATGTTCTTGCTTTTACACTGTTGGTGAAAATGTAAATTAGTTTGACCCTTGTGGAAGACAGTGTGGCGATTCCTCAAAGATCTAGAACCAGAAATACCATTCGACCTAGCAATCCCATAACTGGGTATATACCCAAAGGATAATAAATCATTCCATTATAAAGATACATGCATGCATATATTTACTGTAGCACTATTCACAATAGCAGAGACATGGAATCAACCCAATGCCCATCAATGATAGACTGGGTAAAGATAATGTTGTACATGTACACCATGGAATACTATACAGCCATAAAAAGAAATGAGATCATGTCCTTTGCAGGGACATGAATGAAACTAGAAGTCATCATCCTCAGCAAACTAACACAGGAACAGAGAACCAAATACCATATGTTCTCCTTCATAAGTGGGAGTTGATCAATGAGAACACATGGACACAGGGAGAGGAACAACACACACAGGGCCTGTCAGGACTTGGGGGAAGGAGAGCATCAGGATAAATGGCTAATGCATCTGGGCTTTATACCTAGGTAATGCGTTGATAGGTGCAGCAAACCACCATGGCACACATTTTCCTATGTAACAAACCTGCATGTTCTGCACATGTATCCCGAAACTTAAATTTTTTTTACAAAAAATGATTGTCTGTTCTCCAGATATTGGATGTATTATATGTCCCTTAGGTCATGCTTGTTGATTGTGTTCAAATTTTCTATATGTGTTCTGTATGTGATCTACCAATTGCTGAGAAACCCACATTAACTGTCCTACATAATACTAGATTTCTATTTCTCTGTATCTTCTGGTAATTTTATTATCTACAACATCTGTGTTTTTAAGTATTAGGTTGGTGCAAAAGTAATTGCAGTTTTTGCCATTACTTTTAATGACAAAGTATCTATATATCTATATATAAAGATACTTAGAATTATGTCAATAGATAGTGATGCTTTTTTCCCTGTAATACTTTTTGCTTTAAATTTTGTTGAGGTTTACTAAAAAAGGGTTACCTTTTTCATTCTATTACCTTTTAACTTTGAATGTCCTTATGTTTTAGGTGCCCACTTTTAAATATATATACATATGTTTAACTATTAACATATAAACATATTTTTAGCTGTTGTTTTTAAGTAATGTTTAAGCAGTTGTTTTAAAGTAATCAATTACTGAAATTATTGATTTATTTGGATTCATTAATATCATTTTTTAAAAATCTCTTTGGGCCGGGTGCGGTGGCTCACACCTGTAATCCCAGCACTTTGGGAGGCCGAGGCAGGCGGATCACGAGGTCAGGGGATCAAGACCATCCTGGCCAACATGAGGAAACTCTGTTCCTATTAAAAATACAAAAATTACCTGGGCATGGTGGCGCATGACTGTAATCCCAGCTACTCGGGAGGCTGAGGCAGGAGAATCACTTGAACCAGGGAGTTGGAGGTTGCGATGAGCTGAGATCGCGCCACCGTACTCCAGCCTGGGTGACAGAGCCAGGCTCTGTCTCAAAACAAAAAAAAAAAAAAAAAAAAATCTCCTGTTTAGCCTGCTGTTTGGCCTGCTGTTTTTTGTGACCAAGGGCCTTCTACTCTACCCTTGTTTGCATTCTTTTAGATTCATTTTTCCCCTTTTTAAAAAAATTCTGGGTTTTTTTCTGTTTTGGAAAATTTATTCTATACTTATTTTTTCCCTCAATGGTTATACTAAATTTTAATGTGCCATCCTTCCATACAATACGGTGATTTAGAATGCTGTAACTCTGGTCACTTTATCCCAACTTAAATATGATTGTTTTTTAGTGTTTTATTTCTGTTGTATATTGGGATCATACTTCAATAGATTTATAAATTTCTTAAACATTTTCTTTGCTTACCATTCCTTTTTACTTATTAGACTTTTTTTTGGATGATTTTCTTCTAGCTAATGTCCATGGTTTAAATAGTGAGGCTCTATTGATAGTGCACTCTCAGTTTTGTCTCAAAAAAACTCATATTTTATATTTTCTCAAAAAATAATTTTGCTAAATTTATAACAATGCTAGGTTGACAGTCTTTTTGTCAACATGTTTTGCCTTCCATTGTTGCAGTTGGGAAGTGTTTGTTTGGAATAATCTATTATTTCTAGCTTCTTGTAAGATCTTTTTTTTTTTTTTTCCTCAATGTTCTCCAATTACATTGTGCAGTACCAGATGATTTCATTTATTCTGGTTGGGATTCTTTGACTTTTCTGAATATGAGAAGTATTGTCTTTCATCAGTTCTGGAAAATTCACAGAAGGTTTCTTTTTAAAAATTGCCTCTGTCTCCTTTTATTAGCTCTTCATATAGTAATAACTCTGAATAGGCATATATTAAGAGTTTTAATTTTCTTCTCCATGTTTTAAAACTCTTATTTATTATTTTATGTCTTTGTATTTTTTCTCTTTTGGCTTTAGCATTTAAGATTTTCCTTATTTTCCTTGACAATTCTGTCATAAATTTTAAGTCATTAGTTGATGATGTTCTTGCTTATTCATAATTTTGAAATGTGCTTTATCATAAAATTTTCTCCAGAAATCTAGTCTGCCATATTCCCTGTAACAAAAATGTAAATTATTTAATTTCTTTGACATCTATAAAATGAGAATGAGTGTTTATATTCCTTCTTATTCCAAAAAAGAATTACTGGCAGTGACTAACAAAAATGTAAATAATCTACTAGGATAAAATCAGTAGTTGAGGAAATTAGTGTAAGAGAAAATTAGGATGGGAAAATAAAATAAAACTAAGGAAACAGTTTATGCCAAATAGGACAAAACAAAAAAGCTTGTACTTTCTGTTCCTATAGAGTTGGTATTGTTTGATCAGAAATCATTTGGGGTGCTTCATGATATCCAAAGGAAAATACAATTATGTATAAGATTTAGTGTCTTACAATAAAACATACCAATTGCTCAGGAAACATAGGTGTTCCTGAAATGTCTCTCACTGGTCTTTGAAATAAGAACAGGTGAAGTAGGAGTGGGTTTCCTACAATTTCTTCATTTTAAAAGTTTGTTTTCTAAATTATTTTTTATTTTTTAGAGATGGGGTCTTGCTTTGTCATGTAGACTTGAGTACAGTGGCATGATGATAGCACACTGCAGCTTGGAATTCCTGGGCTCAAGCAGTCCTTCCAACTCAGCCTCCCCAGTAGTTACAGGTGCACACCACCATACCTGACTAATGTATTTTTAAAATTTTTTAAGAGAAGAGGTCCCAATATGTTGCCCAGGTTAGTCTCAAACTCTTAGCCTCAAGTGATCCCCCCACCTCAGCCTCCTGAGTTGGTAGGATTGCAAGTGTGAACCACTGTGCCTGGCTCCTTTGCAATTCTTATAGATCTCCCAAAGCATGCCAGTAGCATAATTCATGCTGTTAATTATGGGTAGAAAGTGGAAGAATTGATGTAAATATGTTGTTAATGAATTAAATTTTATCCCTTTTGATACCATTTTAAAGTAGTATTCTGAAAAAATTATATTTAACTGGCTTAAAATATGAAAAATAGATATTTTATTATCTATGCTTTATAAAAAGATAAATATATGTGGTAGATTTTATAAAAACAGACAGTTCATTGATACAAGTTATAGCCCTGTCCTCATTAATAAAAATGTTTTTATTTTATGTTTGAACTCCCTTTCTTATTACTGCCTGTTCTTTAAAAATTATGATAGTATTATTTAAAAAGAAATCCTCACATGTTATTTTTCTTGGACAGAAGACATCTTTTTTTGGTTGGTGTACATTTTATTCTTAAAACAGATTTTAACATCATGCACAAAAAAATTTGCACTCTTTTTCCTTTAGACATCTCTTTGCAGTCTTATTTGTTTTCTGTCATGTTTGACAAATTTAAAACACGAATAAGTGACAGCAAAACTTGAGTTAAAATAGCACTTCTGACTACCAACTAGTTGTGTTTTGTAGTGTAGCAAAGCTGATAAATTAGGTGCTATTGTAGGGTTCAGCTAGAGCAAATGAAAATAATTTATCAGAAAAACAAAAAAAATCAAACACTGAATCACAGTTTTTTAAGACTAGAGAATCAGTCAAACACTCTGGAAGTAACTTGAGTTTAACAGCATGATTATTGATGTTTAACAGTTAAATCCTACATTCATTCTGAAAGATTTATGGCCCTGATTTTGTTATGAACTTTACCAATGTAAGAACCTAACAAAATATGAAATATAGTTCAATATGTTACAAAAGGAAAAACAAATCACATTTCTCCCAAAGTAAAAACAGAAGTAGTCAACATGCTGCAAATGTTGAAGTTTAAAATGCTGACTTAGGAAGATATATCTGGTTTTTTGGATTTATTTTGTTTATTTTAGACAAACAGTGAGATAGCACAATTTTAATATTTAGGTATAATATGAAAAACAATATATACATCATTGATTTTATATATATAAACACACATATATCACATTATCTGTAACCTAATATTTAGCATAGTTAGTACTATTCTCGATCATTAACAAATGATTAATAAGATTCATTAATGTTCTTAAAATGGGAATCATTAAGTATTATTTTAGAAAAAAAAGTGAGTGAATTGGTTTTGATGAGAATAATGATAAAGAAACTGATAATAAGGACATTATAGAAGTGAAAGCCCTAAATAGGGAATATTTACCTTGCCTTGTTTGAATTGATTGACCCATACTTTTTTCATTAGAGCCTTGTATGTAGAGGAAACATTGAAATTACAACTTAAAGTTAATGTAGAGCATTAAAACATTTATAAATAACTTATCAACCAGTAATTATCATTGCTTTACCATTTTATAGGGTTTATTATGCTATTCTTTTTCCAGTCATTTCATATTTTTAAGGAAACTATCTTTGTCAGCATTTTGAGATTATGAAATTTAAATCAAAACAATTCCAGATTTCAGAAATGAACAAATAGAGACACTGAGCGGTTATTAATTATGAGTAATTAGAGCTTTCTGGATAAAGAGGCAGCTTTATGCCAGGACTGGTGGCTCACGCCTATAATCCCAGCATTTTGGGAGGCCGAAGTGGGAGGATCGCTTGAGCCCAGGAGTTCAAGACTAGCCTGGACAACATACTGAGACATGGTCTCTACCAAAAATAAAATTAGCTGGGCATGGTGGGACACACCTGTAATCCCAGCTAGTAGGGAGGCTGAGATGGGAGGATCGCTTGAGCCCAGGGATTTGAAGCTGCAGTGAGCTATCATTGCGCTATTGCACTCTAGCCTGGGTGTCTGAGCAAGACCCTGTCTCAAAAAAATCCAAATAACAACAACAAATGAAGCATCTTTCAAATACAAGCCATTATAGTATACAATTTAAAAATCGGTTTTCCCCAACTTTGAGTTCTTTTGTTTTTTAAACTGCTTAAATAAAACAGTAAAATATTAAGCCAATTGAAGAGAGATAATAAGATTATAAACTGTTGACAACATTTTTGGTCTCTATTTTTATAAAACAAAATGTCTGTTTTTGTACCTATGTTCTTTCTTCCTGTTCGGCTGAAGTTCTTTTTATTTGTTGATACTTATTATTTTTTTATTCAGGTTATTTCACAGTTGAGGATTTTGGGCAGATCCATAACAGCTGGTTCCAAATTTGATAGAGAAATCTGGTCTAATGAACTTTCTCCTGTCCTCAATCTCTGGAAGAAACTAAACCAGGTTAGTAGTGGAATATTCTTCTGATTCTTTTGCTTTTTCTCCCGCATCGTAACCATGTGCTCCCCATTTCTGCCTGAGTCATACAAGTAATCACATTGCAGAGGTTCCTAACTGTGAAGTCATGGCCCATGACCTCCTTTCTTCATACCAGTGCACATCAAAGTTAGTATTTTTTACTCTCTCTTTTATGAAATAGATCTTTCCTTATCTTTAAATAAGTAATCATATTCACATAATTTCAGTTCTTCCCTTTAGCAGTTCATTCCTTGTCTTGATGTTTGATAATTTTCTTCCTCTCAGGGCTATGCTTCTTGTAACAGTTTCTGAGCCCAGTTTCCAACTTTTTTTTAAGTGACATTGGCAGTTTTGTATTTTCTAATGATTTTCCCAATTCATGCAGTTCTTAAAATGTATATACATAGTACAACCATGTAGGTATTCATATGTATATATATTATTATGTAATATAGCTATTTATTCTGAGAATAATGTGTGATTGTTTTCAGTTTTTACTTAGTAATAATATGAAAATGGAATAATTTGCATAATTGACTAAGTTCACCTCTTACTAAACAGAAAACCAATGGCAAAAGTAACCTTAATTATTGCAAAGATCTCATCTTACATTTTGGAGACATAATCCAGGTATTTGTTGGAAAGTTTCCTTCTCTGTGAAATACAGGTTAACTTGTTTGACTCAATTTCCAGAGTTTGGGGGAAGATTAGAGTCTACTCTGTAGTTTTGGCACCTTAGTCCCCTATAATTTTCTCTGCCTACTTCTGAATTTGCAAAGTCCATGTTGTTTTTGCTCCACATTTGATTTAACCTTAAAGCACAACTTATATCTCTGTTTTTTATAAGAAATCCGTTGATGTGATTTTGTAGTTTTAGTGATCATTAATGAAGTTGCGAGGACAGCTCATATTGCTAAGTGTGCAGTCTTCTACTAAGCCACTTTTTTTTAAACTACATTCTTTGAAGTTTTGCACTTCAAAGTTCCCACAGTTGACTCTTCCATCTGTGCAAAGTTTACTTGGATGTGTCATTTAGACTTCCTTGCACTAACTGCTTCTCTTCATCAGGCACATCTGATTTTATGGCTAGTCTCTCTCCCTCACTGCCAGCACACATACATACCTTCTTTGTAATTCTGAGAAAACTTTTTTCGATTATTATGTAAAGAAGACTATACGAATGACTTCAAAGGCTTACATGTAGATTATTTGCCTCCTGTGACCCAACTCAAGATTAGAAACTCACTGTATTCTCTGCCTTTCCCCAAACCCTCATTTACTTTTTTTTTTTTACTTTTTTTTTTTTTTGAGATGGAGTCTCACTCTGTCACCAAGGTTGGAAGGCAATGGCATGATCTCGGCTCACTGCAGCCTCCGCCTCCCGGGTTCAAGTGATTCTCCTGCCTCAGCCACCCGAGTAGCTGGGACTACAGGTGCACACTACGGCACCCAGCTAATTTTTGTATTTTTAGTAGAGATGCGTTTTTACCATATTAGCCAAGCTGGTCTTTAACTCCTGACGTCAGGTGGTCCACCTGCCTCAGCCTCCCATAGTGCTGGGATTACAGGCGTGAGCCACCACGCCCAGCCCAAACCCTCATTTGGAATGTAGATATAGCCCATTACTAGTTCTCTGATGTTGGATTTCTGCCACAACACACCCCCTAATTACCTGATTCCTACATACAAAGGTAACAGTGTAGAATCTGGGTAGAGTACAATATCATAGGAACATTGAAGTATGTGGCCAGAAGGACAAATTATAGAATATGTTGCTCAAAGGTTTCATTTTAGGAGAAATTACTATTTTAGGGGAAATCATAATTTCCCCTAAAATAAAATTATGATTTTGAATGCTAATTAATTAATAATGCAGTTAAATATTTTGAATTCTCTTCACTTATATAACAGAGATAAAAATGGGACTTCCAGAGCCAGACCGGTGGGGTTCAAATTTCAGTTCTAGAACTTTCTAATTGTATAGCTTAGGAAAGTTACTCGACTTTTCTGTAAAATGGATATAATGATAGTACTTACTATCATTACTTACTATCATCACCAGCAATGATAGTATTCATGAGGATTAAATGCATTAATATATGTAAAGCTTTTATAATAGTGTCTGGCATATGTAAGCACTCTCTTTTAACTACTCATTTAACATTTATCAAAGGTACTTTTATTATGAATGGTCATTTATAATATATGATCATTCATTTTACCCTTTTTCAAGCAAATTATTATTATTTATTTCACAATATTATTGGTCTGTCATTCATTCAGAATATTTTAATGAGTACGTAATGTGTTTCAGTGATTTTTATGCTAGGGACTATGCAGAGATACTTGTGGACAGAATAGTCATGGTACCTACCTTGTGGAGTTTACAGTTAGTTCGTAAGAGAGATATTAGAAGATGAAGCAAGTAAATAAATAAAATATATTATTACAAATTATTGCAGATGCTGTGGGTGGAAAGCACAAGTGGTGTTATAATAAGGGAGAAGACCTATTTTGGCCTGGATAGTTAGGGAGTATCTTGTTTGAGAAGTGAAATGGAATCCAAGATATGAGCAATGAGAAGCTAGCCAGACAGAGTTGGAGGGGAAGACTATTTCAAGCCAAGGTGACAGCATACACAAATTCCCAGAGAAGAGAAAATGTTTGGCGCATTCAATAAAACTGAAAGGATGTCAGTGTGATTGGAGTATAGAGACCAAAGGATAGAGTAGATGAGGTAAGGGGATGCTATGATCTGAATGTTTGTTTCCCTCTTGAAATTCATATGTTGAAGTCTTAACTCTCAAAGTGATGGTATTTGTAGATGGGGTCTTTGGGAGGTATGATTAGGGCATAAGAATAGAGCCCTCACAAATAGGATTAGTGCTCTTATTAAAGAGGTTCCAGAGGGATCCCTTACCCCTTCCTCCACGTGAGGACACTTCAAAAAGACTGCCATCTGTGAATCAGGAAGCAGGTGCTCACCAAATACAGAATCTGCTGGTGTCTTGATCTTAGACTTCTCATACTCCAGAACTGTGAGAAATACATTTCTGTTGTTTATAAGACACCTAGTTTATGGTGTTTTGTTATAGCAACCAGAACAGACTAAGACAGGGATAAGGAATTTTATTCCAAGTGCAATGGGAAACCATGGAAGTTATAGGTAGAGTGGGTATGATCTAGTTTACAATTTCAAAAAGTTTTTGAAGAAAGCTGTTGTGTAGAAGATGGTGAGAAAGTAAGGAGAGCATTCAGGAAGCTCCTGCAGTAGTCCAGGTAAGAGCAGATGGCAGCTTACATTACGGTGGCAGAGCAGATGAAGAGCAGTGGGTGCCCTTGAGTAATGTCAAAATGTAGAGTTATTATGAGAAAAAAATTTAGAGTTATTATAGGGAAACAAACAAACAAAAACAAAAAACGAAAAAAGAACTGAAGACTGTGTTACCATAGAAACCTTGAGGAATCTTTAGTTAGGAATGAAATTGTTAACTAGGCCGAATAGCTTCTGAGAGGTTAAACAAAACGAGGACAGAATTGACCACTGGATATTCAGAATAAAAGTGGTCACTGGTGACCTTGACAAGTAAAGTTTAGGTGGAATAAGGAGACTGGAAGTTAGATTTAAAGGCTGACTAGAGATAGGAGATGAGGAGCTGGAGTCAATGTATCTAGACAATTCTTTTTTAAAATGTGCTTATAAAGGAGAGTAGTGAAATAAGGTGATCAAGATACAGGGCCCATTGTGTTTTTTTCTTAGAGAGGGAAAGTAAGTATTAGGTTGGTTTTAGGCTAATGAGAAAGATCCCGTTGAGGAAGTAGTTGAAGATGCTGAAAAATCGAAGCTCTTAAACCATTTAGGAAAACAAAAACAATGATTTTTGCTAAATGAGGGATCAATAATAAATATAGACATTCCTGCTTCTTAAATATATTAATTTTTTTCTTTTTTTTTTTTCTTTTTTTTTTTTTTTTAGCTATAGGATCTTGATGTAACCACTTCTCTCAATGTGAAACCACTGAAGTTTAATCTTGCCTTGCTTTTCTGTCCTTACTTCTGGTCATATAGAATTCCATTGTTTCAGTATTTACAAGACTATTTGGTTTGTGTATTTGTTTTTAATTATTAGCTCAATCAAGATATATGAAATATTTTTCCCACTTTTTACAACTGTTGATATAATCCCAGATATTCCTTTTAGCTCTTCTCAATGTCACATTTCAAACCAATTCAATTAATCAAGTTTCAGCTTTCTGTCCCTTTGTTTTCTTTGACTTGCCTTAGTTGACCAAATAGAGCGCTACAAAGTTGCTAAACATCCTTGTTCCCAATTTAATCTTTGTATATCTACTCTTTAAATGATATAATAGGTGGCTGGGCGCAGTGGCTCACGCCTGTAATCCCAGCACTTTGGGAGGCCGAAGTGGGAGGATCCCCTGAGGTCAGGAGTTCAAGACCAGCCTGGCCAACATGGTGAAACCCCCATCTCTACTAAAAATACAAAAATTAGCCAGGCATGGTGGTGCACACCTGTAGTCCCAGCTACTTGGGAGGCTGAGGCAGGAGAATCACCTGAACCCGGGAGACAGAGGTTGCAGTGAGCCAAGATTGTACCACTGCACTCCAGCCTGGGCGACAGAGCAAGACTCTGTCTCAAAATAAATAAATAAATAAATAATATAATATAATATAACAGGCATTTCATTTAAGTATACTGACAGCTGGTCTAGGTTTAGCTTGATTTTTATCCTGTTATTTTGCACGAGATGCCTTAGTAATACTACAGTTCCAAGAAACTTTTCCAACCTGTTTTTCTTAACACATCAGAGGTAAATGTGCAAGAATACTTTAATTATTTTGAAGTAGTTTTCTCCAAAACTCAGCTTCTCTCATCTCTCCACTGCTTTTTTTCTTAATTAGAACTATTAGTTTATGAGAAAATCAGTTTATTTTAGATATGTTTATAAGTGAGCTGGAGAGGAGATCTACTAGTGTGTTATTTCAACTGAGAGAGAATGTTTATCCAGCCACTCTAAAGATTCTGGAATTTAGCAATTTCAAAATTGCTGTTAGGGGTTTAGATTAATACTCAATTTAAAATCTTACCACAAGGCAAACTCTTATTCTAAAAAAAATGTTTTCCGAGTTTGTTCTTTCCCAAACTTGAGCTCCTTTAAGGGAAATACTGATAGATATGGAATTAATGTGTTTATCTTTTAACAGCTAGAATTTTAGAATTTTCCTGTTAGGGATCATTAGGAAAAACTACCATCATGTTGAAACTGGAATATGGAGATCCTGAAATGTTTCTAGTGATTAAAGGGATTGGAAAATATAAATTAAGTCTACATTACTGATTGTGACTAATAATTTAAGGCATCCAAAAGTGTTATTGTAGCTGATTTAGTGTGCATTCTCTGCTGCTTTATGTTTAAGGGGAGAAAACACTATTATATAAAAGGTAAACACCAGCTAGGCTTATTTTGACAGTAGACACTATTTTATTTTCATGGAGCCAAGGACTCACAAAAACTCATGACAGATAGCATTATGACTTCCCAATGTAATAGGAGTCTTTTTTCCATATGAGGACCTTGAAGCTCCATAAGGCAAGCAAGAAATGCCATTAATAAAAAATATGCAAATGTCTGGCTATTCTAGATATCTGACAGAGAATGATGAAAAGGAAATGACCAAAGAAAACCAAAGATATAGTTAAGTTTTACTAAAATATTAACATTTTACATAATGTGAATACTATTAACAATATGTGTAAAGAATCTAATGCAGTACCTACATTTGACTTTTAAAATATCAAAATATTAACTTCAGTAGATTCTAAGAATTTAAGAATCTTAATAAATTATGAGCAAAAGGGCTAAATAAAACAGAAGGGTTCTACTGACAAAGGAGATAGGAGGCTTTCGTGAGAAGCAGTTTCCTTTTGATGATTTTTTTTTTTTTAAGGGCTGGTATTTGATTTGATTACTGAGTTTGTTAGAATAGTTTCGTAATTGGTCCTTGAAACATTTTTATGATGGCTGCTTTACAGTCCTTGTTCAAGAATCCCAACTTCTGTGTCATGTTGGTGTTTGCATCTGATAATCTTTCTTTTTAAATTTAAATTGAAGTTTTACTGGTTCTTGGTATAATGAATAACTTTGTACTATATCCTGAACATTTTAAATATTTGTAAGACTCTGGTTCGTATTTAAATCTTGTTGTTTTTTTTTTTTTTTAAGCAGGTAGTCAACCTATTTAAGTTCAGAATGCATGTCTTGATTCACTTCTATAGGTTGTGGTTCCAACATCAATTTGGTTTATAAAATATCTGCAGTGCTATTCTGGTCTGCCTCACTTGTGTCTTATATGACAGGACTTTACCACCACCACTGCCATCACTACCTCCTCCCCACAGTCTCCACAGAGCCAGCTGTGAGAGGGAGGGCATGCCCTCTCGTTACTTCAGTAGTGAAGTGGAGCCCAGAATTCCACCCACAGGCACTGCAGGGGAGGAGCAATATGCTTCTTACTTCAGGGAGCAGGCAGAAGTCAGAGTACTGCCCAGCATCTCCACCTGGCATCTCTCCTTCTACTGCAGGCCAAGGATGACTCATGACTTTTAATAAAATAATTATTGATTTCTTCTTCTTTTTTAATTTGTAGAATATTTTACATTGGTAAGTTAGAAATGTGCATTGGTGCCCAGGTGCGGTGGCTCATGCCTGTAATCCCAGCATTTTGGGAGGCCGAGGCGGGTGGGATAATCTGAGGCCAGGAGTTCGAAACCAGCCTGACAAACATGGAGAAACCCTGTCTCTACTGAAAATACAAAATTAGCTGGGCATGGTGGCACATTCCTGTAATTCTGGCTACTCAGGAGGCTGAGGCAGGAGAAGCACTTGAACCCGGGAGGCGGAGGTTGCAGTGAGCCAAGATCGCACCATTGCACTCCAGCCTGGGCAACAAGAGCGAAATTCCGGCTCAGGAAAAAAAAAAAAGTGTATTGGCCTTTTGTAATTAAATTAGTAATAGAAGGTTGCTGGAGATTCTAAAAATAAATTATGTAAAGCCCAGAAATTGTAACTTTAATTCCTATTGGGCTGAATAAGTTAGGAACTCACAGGAATACCTAAGTACTTATATTCAGGCAAGGGTCCAAAATACATTTTTTGATCAGATTGAAATAGGGAAAAGGTGTCAGTTTAACTCATTGTTTAGATCTGGGCTGTTTCTAACCTTCAAACTTGTTGAATAGCCAAAGGAGAGAACTGAGATGGCAAAGCTAAGTAGATATAGCACTATAATTCTTTATTGTACAGGGAAAATTTTCTCTCTTTCCCCTTCAAAAGGTTTGAACATGCAAAGAAATTATATTTTGCAATTTTTAAAACCTACATCTTTGGCTTTATGTGTTTGAGCTATGTTCAGATTGGTTGAAACTAAAGGAAGAAGTGGAGCTTATGAATTTTGGACTAATCTGTAGCTTTTGTGAATCATGAACTAGTTCGATCATCTTTAATAGACGCAGATAAGAACAAATGCTCCTTTTTTGTGAAGTAGTTTTGAATGCAGGACAATAGAACTGGGAAATGAATTTATATCTTAAGAGAGAAAAATATTTAAAATTGTATAGGCATTAAACATGTTTAAACTTCCCTTTCTGTAAAACGTAGTCATGGAACCAAGGATAATTGAATAGCTAGTGTCTCCTTAGGTGGTACAACAAAAATGATGGATTTGGAAGAAGTGATGCAACTCTGGGTTTCATCTTTTGGTTGGAACATTTCCTTAATGTCTTGTTGGATTGAATGTAAGAGTCACTTTTCATTGCTAATACAGAAGTAAAGCAGTATGTCAGGCATTTACAATGGCAAATGCCAAGTTCTTGAGCACATGTGTGCATATATGAATGTGTGTGTCGTGTGTGAGAGGGAAAGCAAGAGAGTCAAAGTTAAAGTCTTTGTGGTCTATTATATTCATGCATTTTAAGGTAAAACACTAGATAATAAAGCAAAAGGGATAAGGACTCAAATCAAGGTTTATTTATAAATGAACCTTTAATAAGAAAAAATGTTTTTCATAGAATTTTTAGTTTAATATAGTTTATCATTATTTTTTATAAAATCTTATTGGTAAGATAATATAAAATGTTAAAATAGGACTGAAATGAGATATTTTTACCATTCATTCTTAATGCAGTTTAATGACGTAAAGCATGGAGCATGGAACTTCACTGCTTTGTTTAAAATTCCAGATCTGCTGCTTACAGATGTAATTCTGCCCATTTTCTTTACTTGCTTTGCCTAGTTGACTCCTCTGTGAAATGGGGATAATAGATTGTCATAATGACTAGATTAGTTAATACTTGTAAAGGACTTAGAACTGCACCTAGCCCAATGTTAAGTGTCCAATAAATATAAACTATTACTAATACAGATTTTAAAGATAATATTAGGAATGAAATTGCTCTGTAATCTCTCTGTATCCTTGAAATTTGATATCCCTTTGATAACTAAACAATTTAGAAGAGTGGCATAATTTTTCTTGCATTTATTTTAAAGATGTAATTAACAGAGAAGCTTATCCTAATAACGTAACAAAAAATAGGTCTGTAGAAAAATGTAGCTTAGTTTAATATCATGGGTCATTTTAGAATCCTAATTAAATTGCATATTAAGCAAGTTTTCAATCAACTACTAATGAAATTGTTCTAAATGAATTACTTCTCTGGGAAGAATAATAATCATTTTTAATGAATAATATATGAGTTGTGGCTAAATGTTATTCAGATATACACATTTGTATGTGTCTGAGTGTGGGTGTGTGTATACTGCTTTATCAGATGAGTTTTTTAAAAAATGTATTTCATTGTTCCAATAGTTATTGCTAGAATGCTTTTTCATCATTTTTCCACTAAATCAAAGATTCTGAAAGGAAATCTTAAATAATTCTTTATACATAATTATGAAAAGTTTTAAAATCATCTAGGACACCTACTCCCATTTTTATCAGGTCACTTTTGTCTTATTTATAAAGTAGAAACCCAGGTTTTTCTTTAGTTTTCAAAATTTGTTGTTACCTTTATACTCCACACATTGTAATTGTACATATTTTGGGGGTGCAATTTGATGTTTAAATACATATATGTTGTATAGTGATCAAATTACGGTATTTAGCGTATCCATCAACTAATGCATTTATCATTTCTTTGTGGTGAGAATGTGGAAAGCCTCTCTTCTAGCTATTTTGTGCTATGCTTTACTCACCCTATAGCTGTAGGGTACTGTAGCTATAGTCACCCTGCTGGGCAATAGAACACCAAAACTTATTCCTTATATCTAATTATAACTTTGTACTTGTTGAACAACCTCTTTTTATCTTCCCTTTATGTATCCCCTCCACAGTTTCTAGTAACCGCTGTTCTACTCTCTGCTCCTATGTTACCAACGTTTTTCCTAAGATTCCACATGAGTAAGATTATGTGGTATTTGACTTTCTGTGTTTGGCTTATTTCACTTAATGTAATGTCTTCCAGGTTCCTCCGTGTTGTCACAACTGACAGAATTTCATTCTTTTTTTTCCTATAGCTGAACAGTATTCCATGGTGTATATATACCATGTTTTCTTTATCCATTCATTGTTGCACATTTAGGTTAGTTCTGTATCTTGTGTCTTGTAAATAGTGCTACAGTAAACGTGGGAGTTCAAATGCCTTTTATACTAATTTCATTTCCTTTGGATATATACCCAGTAGTGAGAGTGTGGGTAGTTCTATTTTTAGTTTTTTGAGAAAACTCTGTACTTTTAAAATAATAGCTATACTAATTTACAATTCCACCAGTAGTATGTAAGTGTTCCCTTTTCTCAATATCTTTACTAACACTTGTTTTCTTTTGCCTTCTTGATAATAGCTTTTCTAACTGGAATGAGACAACATCTCGTTGTGGTTTTGATTTGCATTTCTCTGATTAATGATGTACATTTTTTCATACATCTGTTGGTCATTTGTGTGTCTTCAGAAATGCTGGCTAAGGTCTTTTACCAATTTTTGAATCACATTTGGGTTTTTTTTTTAACCATTGAGGTAATTTCCTTTTACATTCTGGATATTAACCCCTAATTAGATGTATTGTTTGCAAATATTTTCTCCCATTCTGTAGGTTAACTCTTCACTCTGTTAATTGTTTCCTTTGCTGTGCAAAAGCTTTCTAGTTTGATATAATCCCATTTGTCTCTTTCTGCTTTTGTTGCTTGTGCATTTGAAGCCCTATTTAAAAAATCCTTGCCCAGCCCAGGTACTGAAGTTCTTCCTGCATATTTTCTTCTAGTAGTTTCATAGTTTGAGGTCTTTAATTTATTTTTATTTTATTTTTGTATATAATGAGAGGTAGGGGTCTAGTCTCATTCTTCTGCATGTGGATATCTAATTTTTCTAGCACCATTTATTGACAATACTGTCTTTCCCCAATGTGTGTTCTTGGGACCTTTGTCAAAAAATCAGTTGGCTGACTTTGGGCTGGAATAAGATGGCAGAATAGAAGGCTCCACCAGTCACCCTCCCCTCTACCAACCCTGCAAGGATACCAATTTAACTATCTGCACACACAAAAACCACCTTTATAAGCACTAAAAATCAGGTAAGCACTCACAATAACTGGTTTTAACTTCTTATTGCTGAAAGAGGCATTGAAGAGGTAGGAAAAACAGTTTTGAATTGCAGACACCATCCCTCCCCTGTCTCCAAGCAGCAGTGGCATGGCATGGAGAGCGTTTTGGTGCACTGGGGAGAGGGAGATTGCAGCATTTGTGAGGCACTGAACCCAGTGCTGCCCTATTATAACAGAAAACAAAATGGCTGACACCCACCCTCAGAAGGATAATTTAAACCAGCCCTAACCAGAGAGGATTCCCAGATGCTGGCGGCAGGAACCTGAGTTCTTGCAAGCCTCACCAAAGCAGGCGGAAGTACTCTGGGGCTCTAAATAATCTTGAAAAGCAGTCCAGGCCACAAGGATTTCAATTCCTATGTGAGTAATGCTGCTGAACTAGGCCCAGAGACAGTGAACTGGAAGGGACACGTGACCTACTGAGGCACCTGCTGGGGCAGCTAAGGGAATGCTGGCATCACCCCTCTCCTAACCTCAGGATACACAGCTCACATCTCCAAAACAGACTCTTTCCTTCTGTTTGAGGAGAGGAGGGTAAAAAGTGGGGAGGATTTTGTCTTGCATCTTGGATACCAGCTCAGCCACAACAGGATAGGGAACCAGTCAAAGTTGTGAGCCCTTTTTCTAGGCCCTAGCTCCCGGGCAACATTCGTAGACACTCACTGCATCAGAAAGCAACCTGCTGCCTTGAAGGGAAGTACCCAATCCTGGCAAGATTCATCACCTGCTAACTGAAGATCCCTTGTGCCCTGCATAACCAGCAGCAATACCCACGTGTACTACATTGAGGGCCTTGGGTGAGGTTCTGAGGCTTACTGGCTTCAGGTGAGACTCAGCACATTCCCAGCTGTGGTGGTTGTGGAGAAAGACTCCTTCCACTTGAGAAAAGCAGAGAGAAATGCAAAGGGGACATTGTCTTGCACATTAGGTAGAAGCTTGGCTACAGAGATAGGACACCAAAGAGGCTCTTGGAGCCCCAATTTCAGGACTTGGCTCTTAGACGGCATTGCTGGACCTGCCCTGGGCCAGAGGTGAGCCCACTGCCCTGAAGGGTGAGTCCCAGGTCAGGCAGCATTCACTACAAGTGGACTGAAGAACCTTTGGGCCTTAAGGGAATATCAGTGGTAGTTTTAGAGGCTCCTTATGAGCCTGTTGTGGCAGTGGCCACGAGTGAGGCTCCTCTGCCTTTGGAAAGGGGAAGGAAGAAAGGAGAAGGACTGAATTTTGTGGTTTGAGTGGCACAATACTCAGCTGCAATACAATAAAATACCAGGTAGAGTTCTAAGATTTTTGCCTCTAGTTCCTAGCTGCCAGACAGTACCTCTGGACACACCCATGGCTTGGGGAAGCTCACCAACCTGAAGGGAAGGACACAGGCCTGGCTGACTTTGCCACCTGCTGATTGTAAAACCCCAGGGCCTTGAGTGATCATAGGCCATAGCCAAGGAGTGGTTACTGCAGGCCTTGGCAAGACCTAGTGCTGTGCTGGCTTCAGATCTGACACAGTACAGTACTAATGGTGGTAGCCACAGGAGTGCTTGTGTCACACCACCCCCAGCTCCAGGTGACTCAGAACAGAGAGAGGGTCCTTTCATTGGGGTGAAAATAAGGGAAGAGAACAAGAGTCCCTGCCTGATAATCCAGAAAATTCTTCCAGATCTAGTCCAAGACCATCAAGGTGGCACCTCTATGAAGATGCAAGAACCACAATATTACTGGGCTTGGAGTACACCCTAAAGCAGGTAGAGCTTAGATCACAACACCCAAGTCCTTTAAAATATCTGGAAAGCCTTTCTAAGAAGGTACAAACAATCCCAGACTGAGAAAACTACAATAAATAACTAACTCTTCAATGCCGAGACACCAAAGAACACCTGCAAGCATTAACACCATCCAGGAAAACATGACCTCACAAAATTAACTAAGGCACCAGGGACCAATCCTGGAGACACAGAAATATGGGACCTTTCAGACAGAGAATGCAAAATAGCTACTTTGAGAAAACTCAAACTCAACACAGAGAAGGAGCTCAGAATTCTATCAGGTAAATTTTAACAAAGAGATTGAAATAATTAAAAAGAATCAGGCAGAAATTCTTGAGTTGAAAAGTGCAACTGGCATACTGAAGAATGCATTCAAGCCTTTTGATAACAGAATTCATCAAGCAGAAGAAAGTGAGCTTGAAGACAGACTATTTGAAAATATAGTCAGAGAAGACAAAAGAAAAAAGAATTAAAAACAAGCACACCTACAGGTTCTAGAAAGTAGACTGAAAAGGGCACATCTAAGAGTTATTGGCCTTAAAGAGGAGGTAGAGAAAGAGATAGAGGTAGAAAGTTTATTCAAAAGGATAATAACGAGAGCTTCTCAAATCTAGAGAAAGATATCAATATTCACATACAAGAAGGTTGTAGAATACCAAGCAGATTTAATTGAAAGAAGAGTACCTCAAGGCACTTACTAATCAGACTCCCAAAGATCAAGGAAAAAGAAAGGATCCTAAAAGCAGTAAGAGAAAAGAAACAAGTAACATACAATGGAGCTCCAATACATCTGGCAGCAGACTTTTCAGTGGAAGCCTTACAGGAGAGAGTGGCATGACATTTAAAGTACTGAATGAAAAAAATATTTTACCCTAGAATAGTATATGTAGTGAAAATATCCTTCAAACATGAAGTAGAAATTTTCTTGATTTTATTTGCAGATAGCTCACTATTAGTGGATAGTAACACTACTGGTTTTTGTATGTTAATTTTGTATCATGAAACTATACTGAATTTGTTTCTTCTCACAGTTTTTGGTGGAGTCTTTAGAGTTTTCTGTATATAAGATCATGTTGTCAGCAAATAGGAACAATTTGGTTTCTTCCTTTCCCATTTGGGTTTTTTTTTTTTTTTTTTTTTTTTTGTCTTGCCTAATTGTTCTGGCTAGAACTTTCATTCCTATGTTGAATAAAAGTAGTGAAAGTGGGCAACTTTGTCTTGTTCTTTTTTTTTTTTTTTTTTTTTTTTTTGAGGCAGGGTCTCACTCTGTCACCCAGGCTGGAGTGCAGTGGCACGATCTTGCTCACTGCAACCTCCACCTCCCAGGCTCAAGCAATTCTCATGCTTCAGCCTCCGAGTAGCTGGGATGCACCACCATGCCTGTCTAATTTTTGTATTTCTAGTTTGACCATGTTGTCTAGGCTGGTCTCGAACTCCTGAGCTCAAGTGATCTGCCTGCCTAGGCCTCCCAAAGTGGTGGGATTACAGGCGTGAGCCTCCGCGCCCAGCCTTTATCTCGTTCTTGATCTTAACATTCAGTATGATGTTATCTGTGCATTTGTCAAGTGTGGCCTTTAATTGTGTTGAGGTAGATAACTTCTGTTTCAATTTGTTGATAGTTTTTTTGTCAGGAAGAGATGTTGAATTTTGTCAAATGCCTTTTTTGTGTCTGTTGAAATGATCATGTGGCTTTTGTCCTTCTGTTAATGTGTGTCATTTTTATTCATTTGTATATGTTGAACCATCCTTGCATCCCTGGGGTGAATCCCACTTTAGTATACTGAATGATCTTTTTAATGTATTTTTGAATTTGGTTCGCTAGTATCTTTTTGAGAGTTTTCACATCTATGTTTCAGGGATATTGGCCTGTAGTTTGCTTTTTCTTTGCTGTGTTTTTTCTTTGCTGTGTCCTTCTCTGGTTTTGGAATCACAATCATGCTGGCTTTGTAAAATGAGTTTAGAATTGTTTCTTCCTCTTTATTTTTTTGGAATAGTTTGAAGAACATTGGTATTAGTTCTTTAAATGTTTATGGTAGAGTGCAGCAGTGAAGTCATCAGGTCCTGAGCTGTTCTTTGAAGACTTCTATTACACATTCAGTTTCCACACTTGTTATTGGTTTGTTCAATTGTGTGTGTGTGTGTATGTGTGTTTGGAGATAGGGTCTTGCTCTGTCACTCAGGCTGGAGTGCAGTGGTGTGATCTTGACTCACTGCAGCCCCGACTTCCTGGGCTCAGGCAATCCCCATGCCTCAGCCCCCCAAGTAGCTGGGACTACAGTCGTGCACCACCATATTAGGCTAATTTTTGTAGAGATAGGGTTTTTCCATGTTGTCCAGGCTGATCTCAAACTCCTGAGCTCAGGCAGTCTGCCCATTTTGGCCTCCCAAAGTGCTGGGTTTACAGGCATGAGTGACCATGCCTGACCCCATTTTTTAATTGATAATTTATCTTGGTAGATTGTATGTGTCTAGGAATTTATCCACTTTTTTCTGCTATCAGTGTGTTGGCATATAGTTGCTCATAAAAGTCTCTTATGATACTTTGTATTTCTGTGATATCAGTAGTAATGTCCTCTTTTTTGACTCTGATTTTGAGTCTTCTTTTTTTCTTAGTCTAACTAAAAATGCTTGTTGATTTTCATTGACCCACTGGTTATTAGGGGCATGTTGTTTTGTTTCCATGTATTTTTACAATTTCCCAAATTTTTCTTATTGATTTCTAGTTTTATATGATTGTGGCCATACAAGTTACTTGATATGATCTCTCTCTTCCTAAATCTCTTAAAACTTATTTTGTGGCCTAACATATCCTTGAGAATGTTGCATGTGCAGTTGAGAAGAATGTGTATTCTGTAGCTGTTGGATGGAATGTTCTATAAATGTCTGTTAGGTCCACTTGGTCTATGGTGCAATCTTAGTCCAATGGTTTTTTATTTTTTGTCTAGATGATCTGTCCATTGTTGAAAGTGGGGTCTTGGAATCCCCTACTATTACTATATTTCAGTGTCTGTTTCCTTGTAGATCTAATAATATGTGCTTTTTATATTTTGGTGCTTTTCTGTTGGGTGCATCTATATTTACAGTTGCTACATCCTCTTTTTGAAGTTACTCCTTTAGCGTTAATATAATGAGCTCCATAGTCTTTTAAAATTATTTGTGACTAAAAATCTGTTCTATTTTATATAATATGTTTATTCCTGTTCACTTTTGGTTTTTATTTATAAGGAATATCTTTTTCCATCTCTTTTCAGTCCATTTGTCTTTAATGAGTAGGCAACATATAGTAGGGTCTTGTTTATCGATTCAGCCACACTATATCTTTTAATTGGAGAATGATATGGTTTGACCATGTCCCCACACAAATCTCATCTTGAATTGTAATCCCCATAATCGCCGTGTGTCATGGGAGGGACCCAGTGAGAGGTGATTGAATCATGGGGGGTGGTTTTCTCATGCTGTTCTCATGATAGCGAGTGAGTTCTCATGAGATCTGATGATTTTATAAGCTACTGGCATTTCCCCTGCTGGCACTTATTCTCTCCCTTTCCTTTATAAATTACCCAGTCTGAGGTGTTTTCTCATAGCAATGTGAGAACAGACTAATACAGTAAATTGGTACCAGGAGTGGGGCATTGCTATAAGATACCCAAGAACGTGGAAAGCAACTTTGAAACTGGGTAATGGGCAGAGGTTGGAACAGTTTGGAGGACTCAGAAGACAGGAAGGTGTGGGAAAGTTTGGACCTTCTTACAGACTTGTTGAACGGCTTTGACCAAAATGCTGATAGTGATATGGGCAATGAAGTCCAGGCTGAGGTGGTCTCAGATGGAGATGAAAAACTTGTTGGGAACTGAAGTAAAGGTCACTCTGGCTATGCTTTAGTAGAGAGCTTTTTGACCCTGCCCTAGAGAACTGTGGAACTTTGAACTTGAGAGAGATGATTTAGGGTATCTGGCAGGAGAAATTTCTAAACAGCAAAGCATTCAAGAGGAAGCAGAGCATAAAAGTTTGGAACATTTGCAGTCTGACGATGCAGTAGAAAACAAAAACCCATTTTCTGGGAGAAATTCAAACCAGCTATAGAAATTTGTATAATGAAGAGCCAAACACTAATTGCCAAGACAATGGGGAAAATATCTCGAGGGCATGTCAGAGAGACCTTCATGGCAGCCCCTCCCTTCACAGGCCAGGGGCCTAGGAGAGAAAAATGGTTTCTTGGGCCAGGTCTAAGGCCCCCTTGCTGTGTGCAGCCTTGGGACTTGGTGCCCTGCATTCCACCTGCTCTAGCCATGGCAAAAAGGGGTCAAGGTACAGCTCAGACTGTTGCTTCAGAGGGTGCAAGCCTCAAGCCTTGGCAACTTCCACATGGTGTTGGGCCTGTGGGTGCACAGAAAACAAGAATTGAGGTTTGGAGACCTCTGCCTAGATTTCAGAGGGTGTATGGTAATAGATGGATGTCCAAGAAGAAGTCTGCTGTAGGGTTGGAGCCCTCTTGGAGAACCTCTGCTAGGGCAGTGCAGAAGGGAAATATGGGGTCATAGCCCCCACACAGAGTCCCTACTGGGGCACTGCCTAGTGGAGCTGTGAAAAGAAGGCCACCATCCTCCAGACCCCAGAATGGTAGATCCACCAACAGCTTGCACCGTGCTTCTGGAAAAGCCACAGACACACAAAACCAGCTGTGAAAGCAGCCAGGAGAGGGGAGCTGTACCCTGCAAAGCCACAGAGGCAGAGCTGCCCAGGGCCATGGGAGCCTGTCTCTTGCATCAGCATGGCTTAGATTTGAGACATGGAGTCAAAGGAGATTGTTTTGGAACTTTAATGACTGCCCTATTGCATTTTGGACTTGCATGGGGCCTATAGCCCCTTTGTTTTGGCCAATTTCTCCCATTTACAATGGGTGTAGTAGCCAGTGTCTGTACCCCCATTGTATCTAGGAAGTAACTAACTTGCTTTTGGTTTTAAATGCTCATAGGTGGAAGGGACTTGCCTTGTCTCACATGAGACTTTGGTCTTGGACTTTTGGGTAGTGCTGGAATAAGACTTTGGGGGACTGTTGAGAAGGCATGATTGTGTTTTGAAATGTGAGGACATGAGATTTTGGAGGGGCCGGGGACAGAATGATATGGTTTGGCAGTGTCTTTACACAAATCTCATCTTGATTTGTAATCCCCATAATCCCCACCTGTTATTTGAGGGACCCAGTTGGAGGCAATTGAATAATGGGGGCAGTTTTCCCCATGCTGTTCTGATGATAGTGAGTGAGTTCTCATATGATCTGATGGTTTTATAAGCGTCTGGCATTTCCCCTGCTGGCACTCATTCTCTCTCCTGCTGTCCTGTGAAGAGGTGCCTTCGGCCATGATTGTAAATTTCCTGAGGCCTCCCCAGCCAGGCAGAGATGTGAGTCAATTAAAACTCTTCTCTTTGTAAATTACCCAGTCTCAGGTAATTCCTTATAGCAATGTGAGAACAGACTAATACAGAGAATTTAACCCATTAATATTTAAGGTTATTAATAGGTAAAGACTTCAGCCATTTTGCTAAATGTTTTCTGGTTGTTTTTTAGATCTTTGGTCCTTTCTTCTTGTTTAAATCTGGTTTGGTTGTTTCAACAGTGTTGCTAAGCCTTGTTTACTTTTTTTTTCTTACTTGTGTATTTGTTGTAATTTCTTTCTTTGTTTTCACCATAGGGCTAACATAAAGAATCCTGTAGTTGTAACAGAGTATTTTAAGCTGATAATGTAACTTTGGTTGCATAACACTGCTACACTCCTTTCTCTCTCCCATTTATATTTGTGTTATCTTGATTTACATCTTTGTGTATGATGGGTTCCTTAGCCACTATTTGTAGCTGCTGTTTTTTCACCATTTTGACTTTAAATCTTCATACTAAAGGATTGAAAGATTTACATAGCACTATTAGAGCAATTCCGTATTCTTTGTTATAAATTAACATCTACTGGTGGGTTTTATACTTTCATGTGCTTTTATCATTTTTTGTAAGGCCACTCTAGTAGTGACGAATTACCTCAGCTTTTAATTATCTGGTAAGGTCTTTATTTCTCCTTCATTTCTGGAGGATAGCTTTTGCTGGATGTTACATTGTTGACTGATTTTTTTCTCAGTACTTTCTCTTCCTATTCTCTCCTGACCTGCAAGGTTTCTGCTGTGAAATCTGACTGTCTAGTGGGGATTCCCTTATATGTGACTTCACATTTTTCTCTTGCAGCTTTTAGAATTATTCGTCCTTGACTTTTGACAGTTGGATTGAAATGTAGAACTTTTGGGGTTGAATATAATCGGGGCCTTTTGAGCTTCTTGCATCTGGATGTTCATATCTCTCCCAAGACTTGGGAAGTTTTCAGCTATTATTATGTGAAATAGATTTTCTGTGACCTTCTCTGTCTCTTCTCCCTCTTGCACTCATGTAGTGCAAATATTTTTTTCACTTAATGGTGTACCATAAGACCCATAGGCTTTCTTCATTCTTTTGCTCCTCTTATTTTTTCCCCCTTGGACTGGGTTATTTCAAAAGACTTTTCTTCAAGTTCAGAGACTCTTTTTTTCTGCTTGTTCTGGTCTGTTTTTGAAGCACTCAATTGTATTTTTTAGTTTATTTTCAATAAAGTAACATCATATAAGAGAGATTAGACTATCGTACATAATATTTACTAAAATTTAATATTCTTATTAAATAAGCACTTTTTAATCTTTTGATTATAATTATAGATATTGGTGGAAAACTAACCATTTAGTTATATAATTCTGTTTTTAAATGTCTAAACTAAAAATGAAACTAATCTTTTACATTCTTATACATTTATTTCTAGTATGAATATGCAAAATACAAATAATTTTTTCTTCTCCATATCTTGGTGGAAGAGTTACTTTGATAGAATTTGAAGTTACTTTTTACATTTACATAGGGTGAATATTGCTTCTTTTGAGACAGTCTCGCTCTGTTGCCCAGGCTGGAGTGCAGTGGCACAATCTCTGCTCATTATATCCTCCACCTCCCAGGTTCAAGCAATTCTCATGCTTCAGCCTCCCAATTAGCTGGGATTACAGGCATGTGCCATCACACCCGGCTAATTTTTGTATTTTTAGTAGAGACAGGGTTTCACCATGTTGGCCAGCTGGTCTCGAACTCCTGGCCTCATGTGATTCCTCCAGCCTTGGCCTCCCAAAGCAATGGGATTACAGGTGTGAGCTACCATGCCAGGCTGAAGGCTGCTTTTTACATTTTCTTCCAAAGATGTGCACATGCAGTCCAAAAAGTTAATTTAACATCATTAATACTGAGCATAAACAGGGATAAAAAATTTATGATCCAAATATTTATAATTGTTATTAATATTAAGAATTGTACATCTCTATCCCCATTTTACCCTACTCTCTCCCAAATCCCTTCCTTTCACACAGGCAACAGAGTATATTTATGAGCCTTATTTGTTAATGTCATGCTAGAAGTCACTTTGCTCTTTCATTTTCTTGTGATAATTTATCATATATATTTTAAGTTCTCTGCTTTAAGTTCTAACATTGTGGGACTGGCTGCCTTACTTTGCTCTGATTAAGAAAAGAGCCCTTACCATTTTTTTAAAGAGAAATCAATACACTTACTCAAAATGAGCTAATTAGGGTAAGCCTTTGGGATACTGCAAATGGAGAGTAGATTTTCAGGCCACTGTGATGGCTAGGACTGCTTAGATACTTCAGGTTTTTAATTTCAGGAGGTTAAAATCAAATATAGTTTAGAGATTGCTTATAATGCTTAAATTTGGATCTCATTGAAATGAAAATAATCAGTGGTGTCTGGCTCAAGAGAGTAACCTCTAATTCCAAGGCAATTCCAAAATATTATTTAAAAGTGTTTCTTTGTGCAATAAACATTTCTGAGGATTTTTACATCTGAAAATATCTTTATTTCATCTTCACATTTCTCTAGTAGACTGATAGTGTAGCTGCAGATCAATTTTTAGCTTTCCAATTCTTTTTCTACAACTCTTAGAAAATATTACTCATTGGTCTTTTATTGAAAAAATTAATCTGATTCTTATTTCTTTGAAAGTGACTATTTCTTTCCTTCAGAGTATTCTTTGTCTCTGATATTAAGTTCCACGATAATATGTTTAAGTGTATGTTTTTTTGTTTGCATCTATTCTGTTTGATGCTCTAAAGCCAACCTTTCCACCTATTCCTGGTAACTCAAACCAGCTGGATTGCATGCTATGGTATATTAGGTTCGCTGCTGCCTATGGCTAGTTGTTGATATTGCTCTTTTTTAGCTCTGAAATAGTGACACAGTGGATAATGATGCAATCAAGACAATGTGAAAAGAAAAGTTTGCAGCCAAAATCTCTCCCTAGTCTGGTTTGCCCCAGCCATGGCAGTTACCATGTTCTCTCCTCCTGCTTAAAGTGCCCCAACACTTTCTTTCTGCCAGATGTTTCCCATTCCTGTTGTGCCATCTTCTGTGTTCAGTATCCTTTTATTTTGTCAAACACAAGATTTGGAAGTGGGAGATAGTTTTTCATTTTGAGTATAAACCAGGGTAACTTTTAAAACTCCATTTTAATTCTTGTTTGTAAAATACAGTTTTCCAAAATTTTTATATTACATTCATAATAGCCAAATTTATCAAATATTTTCCTCTTCATTCTGCTGTAGTTTTACCCCTCCCATTTTCTTCCCAAAGCCATTACCATGACTGAGGCTTCTATTCTTTATGGACTAAGGCAGAAAACTCCAAATTTTGACTCTTACTTCCTTTCAAATCATCCTTTATTAATATAACATTTATTTTTCTAAGGAAAACCTTTTTTCCCCTCCATAACTTGGTTCTGTAGCCAACCTTACGTCTAAGCTTCTTCTATAGCAAAGCAGATCTTATTGTTGCATGAACAAACCATGACAGATTCTGTGAGGACTTTCTAAATGCTCTTTCCTTCTCCTGGAATCTCCTAGCTATGCTTAACCAATAAAAATCAGATAATGCTCCAGCATGCTCCAGAAGCCCTCTCAGTTGTTACTTATTTCCCCTTCTGTGTTTCTAGTACCAATATATTACTTAAATAATAATTTCCATAAAAGTTATGTTTTAAACTAGGCAAGTTCAGATATGGCACTTGAATAAACAGGAATTATTTGGGGAGAATTTTAAAGTGTATACATATAAATGATTCAAATGAAAGAACTTAAGACCAAATTTTAGTTTTACAGTTTATCATTTTTATCAGGTTATAGTTAATTACTAGCTAAACTTAATAGAATAATTACACTTTAAAAAAATAAGTCAATTTTTGTTGAAAAGTAAAGAGCAGCGAGTCATCCAGGTTCTCATCTTTTCCCATTAAGTATTTACAGGAATTTAGCTGACTGTAAACTTCTGTAACTGACTGTAAACAGTCGAGATAACTCACTACCTTTGTACTGGTCTGAATCACTTCTGAAGTTTTTCTTAGGTTTCTCATGTGTAAAAGAACGTAATAACCACTTCCCTCTCCAGTCATTTGTTTTCTCATTTGTTTATTTATTTATTAAATATCTATTGAGGAACTAATATGCAATAGGTACTATATTAGATGCTAGTGATTTACACTAGAAATTATGCTAAAGATTATACCAATACACACACAAAAAAAGAGTACAGGTATTACAGTCTTCTTTGGGAGCCCAGATGAGGGAATGATTAATTCTGCTGATAGGAAAGTCAGGGAAGACTTTTTTTTGGAGGTTACGTGATGAGGAATTTTTTTTGTTTTTTTGAGATGGGGTCTCCCTCTGTCACCCAGGGTGGAGTACAGTGGTGCGATCTCAGCTCACTGGAACCTCTGCCTCTCAGGCTCAAGCAATCTTTCCAACCTCAGCCTCTCTAGTAGCTGGGACCACAGGTGCACGGCACCAGCCTGGCTAATCTTTTGTATTTTTGGTAGAGATGGGGTTTCGCCTTGTTACTCAGTCTGGTCTCAAACTCCTGAGCTCAGGCGATCCACCTGCCTCAGCCTCCCAAAATGCTGGGATTCCAGACCTGAGCCAACATGCCTGGCCGAGGAATTCTTTAGACAAAAAAAGGTGGAATGGTATACCAGGGAAAAGGAAATACCTGCCATGTTTGTTATTCTAACCTAACTGTTGCCGATAGAACTAGGTTGGAAAGGGGTTAATATCATGCTGGAGTGCTTATGCTTTATCCTTTAGACAAGGAGGATTTAACAGAACTTACAAGAAGGGAGCATGGAGGTGATATAAAAGGTTTGTGTTTTATAAAGGCAAAATTGATGAAGATGTAAATAGTAGATTAGATTAAGAAGATTGAGACCTGAAAACCAATTAAGAAGTTATAATGTTCTAAGAGCAAGGTGGGTGGGGACTTTAGTATTGTGGCAGTGTGAATATAAAGTAAGAAGAGTCAAAACATGTTTCAAAAGTAGAATCAGCCTTCACAGAGATCCTATATGAATCTAATAACAAATAGATGTGATCACAGTTTTTGAAACATGTGGACTTTTCATAGATTAAACATTATCATCATTCTTATTTTAAAGATTTGTGCATTTATAAAAGCCTGGCATAACAAGCACTAGTAGTGTTTGTGACATTGCCATATTCAATATCTTTTATTTATTTTATTTTATTTTATTTATTTATGTATTTGAGATGGAGTCTCGCTTTGTCACTCAGGCTGGAGTACAGTGGCGCGATCTCGGCTCACTGCAACCTCCACCTCCCGCGTTCAAGCAATTCTCTGCCTCAACCTCCCGCGTAGCTGGGATTACAGGCACCTGCCACCACGCCTGGCTAATTTTTGTATTTTTAGTAGAGATGGTGTTTCATCATCTTGGCCAGGCTGGTCTTGAACTCCTGACCTCATGATCCACCAGCCTTGGCCTCCCAAAGTGTTGGGATTACAGGCGTGAGCCACCATGCCCAATCTTTTATTAATTTAGACGCTAATGCTTGAAGATTAAGACTGTGTCTTCAAATTTTTAGTGATGTTAGTGACTATATTTTTTGGTAAAATATATATTTAAGTATATAACTTTTAACATTACTTTGTGTTAATGGTTAACTCATTATTGTGTAAACTGTTCAAATACACATTTTAACATCTTATTTTTGTGTAATTTTTCCTGGTATTCTGAAAAATTCAGTACGTTTGAAAACAATAATTTGAAAAGCAAAATACTGAAAAGTATAACACCCAAAGAATCTAATCTTCTTTAGTATTCTACATGTATGCCTCTGAAAGGTCAGTTCTTGTTTTAAAATTTTTATTACGTACCAGCTACCACCCAGCAATTTTTAATACCTGTTGATGGTGATAACTATTGAGAATTACTGACATTCTAACCAATTTACATCTACTTTATATATCTTCAGAACTCCCATTAATTCTCATTTAAATTACCTATATGATAAGAGGTGCATATAAAAGAATCTCTTTTGGTCTGGTAGAATCTGTTGAGAGAAAAATAGGTGATAGACTTTTTTTCTGAACAAGAGTTGAACCAGTAACTATATTTTTGTCCAGAATGTTCCCTAGATTTATGTATCTGCCAAATTAAACTTGTAGACTTGGAATAGCTTAATTTCTAAAGAATATGCTAAAGTTAAATAAAATTAAGAAAGTAACAAAAATAGTACTTTCTTAGGTTGCTGAACTAAAAATATCTTTAAAATTGATAATTTCTTCCTCTCAGAGTCTTGTCCAATTTTATTTCCTATTAATCAAGGTGAGTCATAAATGATTGCTTATACTGTTTTTCAAAACTTTGTGGTACGATACTTATTTGTAATACATACCTTGGTTGGATGAAAGCATTTCTCAGTTGTGCTTAGAGCTTTCTTTTTGCTAACACTTCTGAAACTCCACAAACTAATTCACAGTTCTGTATGTCCCAGGTGAAAGATTTCCCTTTGAATTTAGTTCTTAGTAAAACTTTATCTATGCCTCTCCTCCTAAACTGATATGTTTCATTCCTTTTGATAATAAAAATTATGTCATTTACTTACAGCGTTTCAGTCAGCAAAGTAGAACAAATACTAGGTATTTCAATGGATAATTTAATATAGAGAATTGGTAACACATGTTGGAGAGCTCAAAGAGCAAAAAGGGAACAGTGGAATAACTGAGATATTTGCAGGAAGCAGCTACCTCCCCTAGAGCTAGAGGAACACAGGGAATCAAAGAGTCTGAGCTAATCTGAATGTAGAATTGGAGAAAGACCCCTCGGAGCCAGACTTAGACCTCTGAGGAAGGAGTGCTGCTCTTCAGAAGTACTGATGTGTTTGAGGGGGGGATTCTTTGGCTGAGGCTGAGGGTGCCAAATTAAGCTGGATACTGGAGCCAACTGCTGTTGTTGGAAGGATACTGAAAAGAATCTCAAATGAACAGGAAGAAGGAAGTTCCTTTTCCTCTATTCCTGCTTCACGTTCTTGTATAGAAATTCCACTGGCAGAACCTAATAGGACATCATCTGTAAAGAAGAACTTCAGTTTGCAGAGTTAGCCCCAGCTTCACAAACATACATGCTGAGAGATAATACCTCCTACATAATAGAATATGCCTTTTCATTTGCACGTCCTTTATTGGTTTTTTTCTCTAATGTTTTGCTTCTTGATTTGGGTGGTTAGTTTGGTAATTCTTTCTCCTTTTAAATCTTTATTTTTTTTTTTTTGAGATGGAGTCTCGCTCTATTGTCCAGGCTGGAGTGCAGTGGCGCAATCTTGGCTCACTGCAAGCTCTGCCTCCCGCGTTCACGCCATTCTCCTGCCTCAGCCTCCCGAGTAGCTGAGACCACAGGTACCCACCACCACGCCCAGCTAATTTTTTTGTATTTTTAGTAGGGACGGGGTTTCACCATGTTAGCCAGGATGGTCTCCATCTCCTGACCTCATGATCTGCCCGCCTCAGCCTCCCAAAGTGCTGGGATTACAGACGTGAACCACCATGCCCGGCCTCTCCTTTTAAAAATCTTAATAAAAGCACTGAAGGCTATATTACTGAGCACCATTTTAACTATAACCCACAGCTTGATAGGCATGTTTTCATTATTGTTCACTTTTAAATATTTTCTAAATTTCATTGTAACTTCATCTTCTATGCTCCATTTTTTTACTCATTCTTTACTGTCTTGATTACCTTTTAGGTATAGATGTCTATTATGTATGACTACATTATGACTAGAGAATATGGTCTTATGACAGTAATCTTTTGAAATTTGTTGGGATTTGCTTTATGGCCCACTATGCAATAACATTTTGTTATGTTTGAAAAGAATGAATATTCTGCTATTGTTGACTGCTGTCCTCCCATTTTATCCTTTAGTGTAAAATGTTTTAATTCAAAGCTTATACTACTACACATACACAAAATGGTATTTTGTTCATTTGTTTTATTTATACAGGTTCAGAATGTTATCTCTTCTTGATATATTGAACATTTGTCATCGTAAAGTGATTCCCTTTAGCGCTTATGTTTTTCCTATTTTTCTGATATTAATATGTCAGTTTTCTTTTGGTTATTTTTTGCTAGATATATCCTAATTTATACTTTTAACGTTAACTTTCTCGAGTTTTTCTATGGGTGCCTCTTATAAAGAGCCTATAGCTGGATTATGCCTGATCTATAACTGGAATATTTAGTCTGTTTACATTAATTTGGATTAATTATACATTTTATATTTTTTATACTTTTTTTTACTCATCTTCCTTTGGACTGATTATTTTCTAATGTTTCTTTTTCCTAGTTTACAACTTATATGCATTTTTTACTTTTTAGTTGGTATTCTGTATGTTTTTTGTACATACATAGCTTATCAAAGTTAAACTCAGTATATTTGCATAACTCCCAGACAGTTCAAGAAGCTTAGTATATTGTACTCAATTCCAACTTTATATGCAGTTATGATTTTATATTTTAGTCTGTCTTTCTTGTTGTTGTAGTCATGTACATAATGCTTATTTGGATTTGCCCCATGTTTATCACTTGTATTGTTCTTTATTTCTTCCTGTATCTCAGACATTCTGTTTGGTTTCACTTTGCATCTGCTTATAGTGTAGAAAGTATCTTTTGGTTGTGAACTCTTGAGTTTTTATCTGAAAATGCCTTTAATTTGCCCTCTGTCTTAAAGGGTATGTTATTCTGTATTAACATCTAATGTCTCATTATACTGAAGGTAGATTTGAGATAGAATTCTGTCTTTTCTGGTTTCTGTTGTTGAGAAGTCAATTTTTGCTTCTTTGATCTATCTTTTCTTGCTGCTTTTAAGATCTCTTTACCTTGATTTTCTGCAGTTATACTGTTGAGATTGGGTATGGAATTGTGTTCTTTTTCTCTTTAATTCATTTTTTTAAAAAATTGGGTAAGATTTAATGGGCTTTTTGAATTTTCATTAGTGGTGTTGATCAGTACTATCAACATCTGAGTTACTCTTTAAATTTTGACTACTTCACTATCTCTCTTTTCTGGAACTCTGATATTGGATGTATGTTAGACCTTTCTCTCTCTGTTCATCATGTGTCTTATTTCTCATAATTTCCATCTTTTTTTCTACATGATGCATTCTGAATAAATTCTACAGAACTGTCTTCTGGTTCACTGTTTTTTTTCAGCTGAATCTGATCTGTCAGCATGTTACATTCTCAGTGTTTCTGTGTAAAAAACCCTAGTCTTATGACTCTTCATCTACCATAGAATTAAATTTGTAGCCATTGCCTAGTTTATTGGTCTGATCAGAAAGGATAATAAAACTTATATTAGCTTCCAGAAAAGGGCCAAAGGGCCTAAAATCCTATATTAAATCCAGAGTCCTGGAGGGACTATAGCATTATCTCCTTAAATATTTACATATCAAAAGGAATAAAGCTCTAAAACTTGGAATCATCTCTAGGTCATCTGGCTCCTGGAGAGATTTTATTTACGTACCACAGTGTTCTTTAAAATTCAGTCACATTACATTTCCTAGACATCCCCTTTCAAAGGAAAGAGGACAGCTGCCTTCTTCCTCTTTATAAGCAGAGAAAAACCATTTTTCTCTACCCCTTGTACCTAGCCAATGGAAGATCTGTCTACTTGAATAGGATAATTGATCTGGTTTTCATGTGGCTGCCCCAGAAATAAGGCCTGGGGCAAGAAGGTAGGGGCAACACACTTAGTTACTATGAGAGAATTAATAAGCAATCTGATCTAGAATACCTCTGTTCACATTCAACATGAGGTAAATAAAGATGAAGATTAAAAAGTCAACACTTAGCTTTCTGAATAATCATGCCTTACTTCTGAACTCGTAGTTACATTTGTTGCATTTAAGAATATGCTTTAATATGTTATTCAACATTTTTGGTTGTTTTCAGCAGCAGCTAGCCCTACTTGAAATAGAAGCTGAAATAATCTTTTTATTTTGAGCAACTGTGAAATAAGTTATATATGTGTATTAAATGATTATGCTTTGTTTGTAGACTTCCTTTTTTTGTTCACTGGTGATGTTATGTGGTATTGGAATTATTTTTTGTTTTCTCATTGAGTCTCTACAGTAGCTGTTGAAATGCTAACTCTTCCTTTTAGCCATAAAGTTATTGAACCAATTAGCTTACTCTTTGAGAGCAGTTGGGCTCTCCTCATACTTTAAAACACACCACACACACACACACACAAAAGTATTTTGGGCTATCTTATTGGCTTTCTTTTTTTTATTATTATTATACTTTAAGTTTTAGAGTACATGTGCACAGCGTGCAGGTTTGTTACATATGTATACATGTGCCATGTTGGTGTGCTGCACCCATTAACTCATCATGTAACGTTAGATATATCTCCTAATGCTATCCCTCCACACTCCCCCCACCCCACAACAGGCCCCAGTGTGTGATGTTCCCCTTCCTGTGTACATGTGTTCTCATTGTTCAATTCCCACCTATGAGTGAGAACATGTGGTGTTTGTTTTTTTGTCCTTGCAATAGTTTGCTGAGAATGATGGTTTCCAGCTTCATCCATGTCCCTACAAAGGACATGAACTCATCATTTTTTGTGGCTGCATAGTATTCCATGGTGTGTATGTGCCACATTTTCTTAATCCAGTCTATCGTTGTTGGACATTTGGGTTGGTTCCAAGTCTTTGCTATTGTGAATAGTGCAGCAATAAACATACGTGTGCATGTGTCTTTATAGCAGCATGATTTATAATCCTTTGGGTATATACCCAGTAATGGGATGGCTGGGTCAAATGGTATTTCTAGTTCTAGATCCCTGAGGAATCGCCGTACTGACTTCCACAATGGTTGAACTAGTTTACAGTCCCACCAACAGTGTAAAAGTGCTCCTATTTCTCCACATCCTCTCCAGCACCTGTTGTTTCCTGACTTTTTAATGATTGACATTCTAACTGGTGTGAGATGGTATCTCATTGTGGTTTTGATTTGTATTTCTCTGATGGCCAGTGATGATGAGCATTTTTTCATGTGTCTTTTGGCTGCATAGATGTCTTCTTTTGAGAAGTGTCTGTTCATATCCTTCACCTACTTGTTGATGGGGTTCTTTGTTTTTCTCTTGCAAATTTGTTTGAGTTCATTGTAGATTCTAGATATTAGCCCTTTGTCAGATGAGTAGATTGCAAAAATTTTCTCCTATTCTGTCAGTTGCCTGTTCTCTCTGATGGTAATTTCTTTTGCTGTGCAGAAGCTCTTTAGTTTAATTAGATCTCATTTGTCAATTTTGGCTTTTGTTGCCATTGCTTTTGGTGTTTTAGACATGCAGTCCTTGCCCATGCCTATGTCCTGAATGGTATTGCCTAGGTTTTCTTCTAGGGTTTTTATGGTTTGAGGTCAAACATTTAAGTCTTTAATCCATCTTGAATTAATTTTTATATAAGGTGTAAGGAAGGGATCCAGTTTCAGCTTTCTATATATGGCTAGCCAGTTTTCCCAGCACCATTTATTAAAATAGGGAATCCTTTCCCCATTTCTTGTTTTTGTCACGTTTGTCAAAGATCAGATAGTTGTAGATATGTGGCATTATTTCTGAGAGTTCTGTTCTGTTCCATTGGTCTATATCTCTGTTTTGGTATCAGTACCATGCTGTTTTGGTTACTGTAGCCTTGTAGTATAGTTTGAAGTCAGGTAGTGTGATGCCTCCAGCTTTGTTTTTTGGCTTGGGATTGACTTGGCAATGCAGGCTCTTTTTTGGTTCCATATGAACTTTAAAGTAGTTTTTTTCCAATTCTGTGAAGAAAGTCATTGGTAGCTTGATGGGGATGGCATTGAATCTATAAATTACCTTGGGATGTATGGCCATTTTCACGATAATGATTCTTCCTACCCATGAGCATGGAATGTTCTTCGATTTGTTTGTATCCTCTTTTATTTCCTTGAGCAGTGGTTTGTAGTTCTCCTTGAAGAGGTCCTTCACATCCCTTGTAAGTTGGATTCCTAGGTATTTTATTCTCTTTGAAGCAATTGTGAATGGGAGTTCACTCATGATTTGGCTCTCTGTTTGTCTGTTATTGGTGTATAAGAATGCCTGTGATTTTTGCACATTGATTTTGTATCCTGAGACTTTGCTGAAGTTGCTTATCAGCTTAAGGAGATTCTGGGCTGAGACAATGAGGTTTTCTAGATATACAATCATGTCATCTGCAAAGAGGGACAATTTGACTTCCTCTTTTCCTAATTGAATATCCTTTATTTCCTTCTCCTGCCTGATTGCCCTGGCCAGAACTTCCAACATTATGTTGAATAGGAATGGTGAGAGAGGGCATCCCTGTCTTGTGCCAGTTTTCAAAGGGAATGCTTCCAGTTTTTGCCCATTCAGTATGATATTGGCTGTGGGTTTCTCATAGATAGCTCTTATTTTGAGATATGTCCCATCAATACCTAATTTATTGAGAGTTTTTAGCATGAAGGTTGTTGAATTTTGTCAAAGGCCTTTTCTGTATCTATTGAGGTGATAATAAGGTGGTTTTTGTCATTGGTTCTGTTTATATGCTGGATTACATTTATTGATTTGCGTATGTTGTACCAGCCTTGCATCCCAGGGTTGAAGCCCACTTCATCATGGTGGATAAGATTTTTGATGTGCTGCTGGATTTGGTTTGCCAGTATTTTATTGAGGATTTTTGCATTGATGTTCATCAGGGATATTGTCTAAAATTCCCTTTTTTTGTTGTGTCTCTGCCAGGCTTTGTTATGAGGATGATGCTGGCCTCTTAAAATGAGTTAGGGAGGATTCCCTCTTTTTCTATTGATTGGAATAGTTTCAGAAGGAATGGTACCAGCTCCTCCTTGTACCTCTGGTAGAATTCAGCTGTGAATCCATCTGGTCCTGGACTTTTTTTGGTTGGCAAGCTATGAACTATTGCCTCAATTTCAGATGCTGTTATTGATCTATTCAGAGATTCAACTTCTCCTGGTTTAGTCTTGGGAGGGTGTATGTGTCGAGGAATTTATCCATTTCTTCTACATTTTCTAGTTTATTTGTGTAGAGGTGTTTATAGTATTCTCTGATGGTAGTTTGTATTTCTGTGGGATCGGTGGTGATACCCCCTTTAACATTTTTTATTGCATCTATTTGATTCTGCTCTCTTTTCTTATTAGTGTTGCTAGCAGTCTATCAATTTTGTTGATCTTTTCAAAAAACCACCTCCTGGATTCATTGATTTCTTGAAGGGTTTTTTGTGTCTCTATTTCCTTCATTTCTGCTCTGATCTTAGTTATTTCTTGCTTTCAGCTAGCTGTTGAATGTGTTTGCTCTTGCTTCTCTAGTTTTTTAATTGTGATGTTAGGGTGTCAATTTTGGATCTTTCCTGCTTTCTCTTGTGGGCATTTAGTGCTATAAATTTCCCTCTACACACTGCTTTGAATGTGTCCCAGAGATTCTGGTATGTTGTGTCTTTGTTCTCGTTAGTTTCAAAGAACATCTTTATTTCTGCCTTCATTTCGTTATGTACCCAGTAGTCATTCAGGAGCAGGTTGTTCAGTTTCCATGTAATTGAGTGGTTTTGAGTGAGTTTCTTAATCCTGAGTTCTAGTTTGATTGCACTGTGGTCTGAGAGACAGTTTGTTATAATTTCTGTTCTTTTATATTCGCTGAGGAGTGCTTTACCTCCAACTATGTGGTCAATTTTGGAATAGGTGTGGTGTGGTGCTGAGAAGAATGTATATTCTGTTGATTTTGGGTGGAGAGTTCTGTAGATGTCTATTAGGTCCACTTGGTGCAGAGCTGAGTTCAATTCCTGGATATCCTTGCGAAATTTCTGTCTTGTGGATCTGTCTAATGTTGACAGTGGGGTGTTAAAGTCTCCCATTATTATTGTGTGGGAGTCTAAGTCTCTTTGTAGGTCTCTAAGGACTTCCTTTATGAATCTGGGTGCTGCTGTATTGGGTGCATATATATTTAGGATAGTTAGCTCTTCTTGTTGTATGGATCCCTTTACCATTATGTAATGGCCTTCTTTGTCTCTTTTGATCTTTGTTGGCTTAAAGTCTGTTTTATCAGAGACTAGGATTGCAACCCCTGCCTTTTTTTGTTTTCCATTTGCTTGATAGATTTTCCTCCATCCCTTTATTTTGAGTCTATATGTGTCTCTGCACATGAGATGGGTTTCCTGAATACAGCACACTGATGGGTCTTGACTCTTTATCCAATTTACCAGTCTGTGTCTTTTAATTGGAGCATTTAGCCCATTTACATTTAAGGTTAGTATTGTTATGTGTGAATTTGATCCTGTCATTATGATGTTAGCTGGTTATTTTGCTCGTTAGTTGATGCAGCTTCTTCCTAGCCTTGATGGGCTTTACAATTTGGCATGTTTTTGCAGTGGCTGGTACCAGTTGTTCCTTTCCATGTTGAGTGCTTCCTTCAGGAGCTCTTGTAGGGCAGGCCCGGTGGTGACAAAATCTCTCAGCACTTGCTTGTCTATAAAGTATTTTATTTCTCCTTCACTTAGGAAGTTTAGTTTGGCTGGATATGAAATTCTGGGTTGAAAATTCTTTTCTTAAGAATGTTGAATATTGGCCCCCACTCTCTTCTGGCTTGTAGAGTTTCTGCCAAGAGATCAGCTGTTAGTCTGATGGGCTTCCCTTTGTGGGTAACCCGACCTTTCTCTCTGGCTGCCCTTACCATTTTTTCCTTCATTTCAACTTTGGTGAATCTGACAATTATGTGTTTTGGAGTTGCTCTTCTCGAGGAGTATCTTTGTGGCATTCTCTGTATTTCCTGAATCTGAATGTTGGCCTGTCTTGCTAGATTGGGGAAATTCTCCCTGATAATATCCTGCAGAGTGTTTTCCAACTTGGTTCCATTCTTCCCATCAGTTTCAGGTACGCCAATCAGACGTAGATTTGGTCTTTTCACATAGTCCCATATTTCTTGGAGGCTTTGTTCATTTCTTTTTACTCTTTTTTCTCTAAACTTCTCTTCTCGCTTCATTTCATTCTTTTGATCTTCAATCACTGATATCCTTTCTTCCAGTTGATTGAATTGGCTACTGAAGCTTGTGCATTCATCACGTAGTTCTTATGCCCTGGTTTTCAGCTCCATGAGGTCATTTAAGGACTTCTCTACACTGGTTATTTTAGTTAGCCATTCATCTAATCTTTTTTCAAGGTTTTTAGCTTCTTTGCGATGGGTTCAGACTTCCTCCTTTAGCTCGGAGAAGTTTGATTGTTTGAAGCCTACTTCTCTCAACTCGTCAAAGTCATTCTCTGTCCAGCTTTGTTCTGTTGCTGGTAAGGAGCTGTGTTCCTTTGGAAGGGAAGAGGCGCTCTGATTTTTAGAATTTTCAGCTTTTCTGCTCTGTTTTTTCCCCATCTTTGTGATTTTATCTACCTTTGGTCTTTGATGATGGTGATGTACAGATGGGGTTTTGGTGTGGATGTCCCTTCTGTTTGTTAGTTTTCCTTCTAACAGTAAAGACCCTCAGCTGCAGGTCTGTTAGAGTTTGCTGGAGGTCCGCTCCAGACCCTGTTTGCCTGGGTATCAGCAGCAGAGGCTTTAGAACAGCCAATATTGCTGAACAGCAAATGTTGCTGCCTGATCCTTCCTCTGGAAGCTTTGTCTCAGAGGGGTACCCAGCCGTGTGAGGTGTCATTGTGCCCCTACTGGGGGGTGCCTCCCAGTTAGGCTACTCGGGGGTCAGGGACCCACTTGAGGAGGCAGTCTGTCTGTTCTCAGATCTCAAACTCCGTGCTGGGAGAACCACTACTCTCTTCAAAGCTGTCAGACAGGGACATTTAAGTCCGCAGAGGACATTTCTGCTGCCTTTTGTTTGGCTATGCCCTGCCCGCAGAGGTGGAGTCTACAGAGGCAGGCAGCCCTCCTTGAGCTGCGGTGGACTCCACCCAGTTCGAGCTTCCCGGCCACTTTGTTTACCTACTCAAGCCTGGGCAATGGCGGGCGCCCCTCCCCCAGCCTCCTGCTGCCTTGCAGTTTGATCTCAGACTGCTGTGCTAGCAATGAGCTAGGCTCCATGGGCATAGGACCCTCCAAGCCAGGTGCAGGATACAATCTCCTGGTGTGCCGTTTGCTAAGACCGTTGGAAAAGCACAGTATTAGGTTGGGAGTGACCTGACTTTCCAGGTGCCATCTGTCACCCCTTTCCTTGGCTAGGAAAGGGAATTCCCTGACCCCTTGCGCTTACTGGGTGAGGTGATGCCTCGCCCTGCTTCGGCTCACACTTGGTGCGCTGCACCCACTGTCCGACAATCCGCAGTGAGATGAACCCGGTACCTCAGCTGGAAATGCAGAAATCTTTCGTCTTCTGCGTCGCTCACGCTGGGAGCTTTAGACTGGAGCTGTTCCTATTCGGCCATCTTGGCTCCACCCCTATCTTATTGGCTTTCTAAGAATCAGTCATGCACATAAACCACACCAAAAGGCATTTCATGGAAAAATATACATCATTTGATTTTTAGGGGGTATGGAGGCAAAGATAAACTTTTCAGTGTAAGTCAATTTTGGAAAAAAAAAAAGTCTTCCTGTTGGTTTCCTTTAAGCAAGTACAAAAATCTCAAATGTATGATATTGTATGTTATTCTTCATAACCCACCCTTCTCTCACACTCTTATATTCCTGAAACTATTTTTTTTTTTTTTGAAATGGAGTTTCGCTCTTGTCACCCAGGCTGGAGTGCAATGGTGTGATCTCAGCTCACTGCAACCTCCGCCTCCCAGGTTCAAGCGATTCTCCTGCCTCAGCCTCCCAAGTAGCTGGGATTACAGGTGTGCACCACCATGCCCAGCTAATTTTTGTGTTTTTAGTAGAGACGGGGTTTCACCATGTTGGCCAGGCTGCTCTTGAACTCCTGACCTCAGGTGATCCACACACCTCAGCCTCCCAAAGTGCTGGGATTACAGGTGTGAGCCATGGCACCCAGCCAGAACTTAAAATGTAACAAAATAACTTTGTACTGAAAGGCATATGCCTGACACATAGTCAGTACTCCATGAAAATTAGCTATTCTTCCTCTTAAATATCATGGTCTGTGTTAGGCCTCTTAATGTGAGATTGTATTGTTACTCTATTATTCTACTAGTTTGCCTGTTTACTTGATAGCTTCACAGAGCAGAATCATTCCTCAGGCCAAATTATGGAGCAGATATCATATTAAAGATACTTTCCTAGAAATAAAAATTTTTATTAATGTGCCATCTTTTCTATTAATAGCCTACTTCAAAAATTATTTGCTTTAAAATTATTTACTCATTTCATATGCCTTGAAAGTTTCATAGTTTTTATTAAAATGGCAAAATCACAATTACTTTTGCACCAACTTTATTTCAAACAAAAGCCCCTTTGTATTAGTGTTCTGTAGGTTTCTCCTGATTTTTCTTTTAGAAATATGTAATAGCATTAGCTTCCATGCCTCAGATCTTTCAGAATACTCCTGTATTAGTCCATTTCACGCACTGATAATGACACACCGGGACTGGGCAATTTATAAAAGAAAGAGGTTTAATGAACTTATAGTTCCATATGGCTGGGGAGGCCTCACAGTCATGGCGGAAGGCGAGGAGGAGTTAAGTCACTTCTTATGTGGATGCGGGCAGGCAAAGAGAGAGAGCTTGTGCTGGAGAACTCCTCTTTATAAGACTATCAGATTTCATGAGACTTATTCACTATCACGAGTACAGCATGGGAAAGACCTACCCCTATTATTCAATTACCTCCCACTGGGTCCCTCCCACAACATATGGGAATTCAAGATGAGATTTGGGTGGGGACACAGCCAAACCATATCAACTCCCCTTCTCTTTTAGCCTTGGCTTTACTTGATCTACTAGTTTCCTGTGTTTTTGCCCTTTATTTCAGCTCTTCAACACTTCTGATTTAAACAATTTATTGGGTATTTATTACTTACTTTCCCTGGTTGAATTCTGCTTGCTCAATTAAATAACATATCTTTAATTGCAATTAAAACATGACTGTTTGGGTTTTATTTGATCCACTTGACAATTTGCTATGAAAAGGAATACGGATCTCCGAATCTGTAGGTTCCACATCTGCAAATTCAACCAACCATAGATTGAAAATATCCTGAAATAAAAAACACAATACAGTATAACAACTACTTACGTAATGCTTACTTACATTGTATTAGGTGTTATAAGTAACCTAGAGATTATTTAAAGTATACAGAATTATGTGTGCAGTTTATGTGCAAATACTACCCCATTTTATATAAGAAATTTGAGCATCCATAGATTTTGGTATTGAGGGAGGCTCAATACCAAGAGGAGGGTAGGGAAGGGAATAAAAAAGGAAAGAAAATAGCATTATGAGTTTGGTGAGTTCAAAGAGTTGAAAGATTATAGAATTTCTAGCTACCCATTTTATAGGATAGCCATCTGCCTTACTGTACCAAAAGCCAATTATTAGTGGACAAACAGAGCTAATACAAAGGAGCTTTTGTTTGAAATAAGGTTGGTGCAAAAGTAATTGCGATGTGGATACCCTGTGCTATGGGAGGGGAGGGGATCCAATCCCCTGAGGTATGACTATAGTTGTTACTAGGTATAAAAGGTTTAGAAATCCAAGCTCTGTCCACTAATAACTGGCTTTTGGTACAGTAAGGCAGCCAGCTATCCTGTGAAATGGGTGGCAAGAAATTCTATAATCTTTGAATTCCCTGAACTCACCAAACTCAAAATGCTGTTTTCTTTCCTTTTTTATTCCCTTCCCTACCCTCCTCTTTCCACAGTTTTGCCAGAAATCCACTTGTGGATTTAATTTAATGCAGATATGTACATAATATACAGACATGCAGATATGGGCATAATTTAATCCAGATATGTAATATTTTGACCTTTCTGATCGTAGATGCTTGGGAAAGTTGTCTGTTGAACTTGCATTAATCAGTTATGACATTTTAGATTGCAAGTAATTGGAAAACTCAGCTCAAACTGACTTATGTGAAAAATGGAAATGTATGGTGTATATGATTGAAAAGGTGTTAAAATGTTTTTTTCATAGCTTGTTTCAAGAAACTTGCAAGAATGTCATGAGGACCCAGTGATTTCTATATACATATATATTTCTTATTATGTATTATGTATATCCTCATATATAATATATATTCTGAAAGATCTGATGTGCTGGAATATATACATGCATATGATCATGTATGTTACATATGATCATTGTATCACTGATATACATATATATCATATATATATTTATGTATATGTACACACACACACACACACACACACTTCTCTGTATTGGCACCATTTTTCATACAGCATCTCTTTATTATCACAGAATTATTGCAGCTATTCTCTAATTTATGATCCCTCAGGTTCAAGTCTAGTAGAAAGAAACAGTTACCTATTTTTCAGAATACCCAGCAGAATTCTTACCACATTTCATTGTCTCTGTTTGGTCATGCTGCCATCCCTGAACCAGTCACTGTGGTCAAGAGAATGGAACGCTCTCATTAGTTAAGCCCCAATTCAAGTTGCAAATTAATTTGTGGAACTGAGTTGAATCAACTCTTCCAGAACTCTGTGGACTAAGACTTGGGAAAGGCTTCTGCCCAGACGATAGGAAATGATTATCTAAAGAGGAATGAAGGGTTACTTGAGGGCAAAGGTAGAATTTCCATTACATAGAAGTGAAGGTATTTTTCCCTTTTCTTTAACCCTTACAGATCCACTCCAACTTTGTTTTTACTTCTAATTTCCTTTTTTGCTTTTTAAAGTGACTGTTCATCGAGTCTTTTGTTATCTTTATCTTCCTTATCATAGAAAACATACATTGAACCAAGACATGATCATATAATCTGGAAAAAATACCTTTGTCCATTTGTTGATTACTGTTTTATAAGCTCTGGATAAATACAGCAGAGGCTACATTTTACATCTTATGAATTTCACTGAGTCACATATCTGAGAAGGACTCTGATGTTACCTAGACTCTATATCAATCCCCATAACACCTTGTACAAGTGATAATCTAGTTGAGAGGTTGGCAAACTGCAACTCAGGAATAGGCCAAATCTAGCCTGCTGCTAGTTTTTGTAAATACAGTTCTATTAAAACCCAGTCATACCTATTTGTTTATATTGTCTGTGACTATTTTCATCCTACAACAGCAGAATTGAGTAGTTGCAACAGAGACCTTACAGCCCACAAAGTCTGACGTGTTTACTCTCTGGACTTTTACGGATGAACATGCTAAACTCTGGTCTACCCATTGCTTGAGTGTACTCTGCTGACAAAAATTCTTTCTGAGGGAGAATCATTTCTAAAAGCTCAATTATCAACAAACAAAAAGAATGCTACTTTCATGTGTCATCCATTCACTTAGGTCTAAAATAGTATCCCACCTAGGAAATTGTTTCAGTTAAAACACAAACAACCTGGTTTCACACCTAAATTGTACCAAATTAGACAAATTTTTCTTGCCTAAATGAGTTTTCTTGCTTAATAGTTAAGTTTTAAATATTGATAACCTGTATACACACACACAGCATGGAGTACCACTCAGCCATAAAAAAGAATGAAATTATGTCTTCTGTAGCAATATGGGTGGAGCTGAAGGCCATTATCCTCAGTGAAATAACTCAGAAACAAAGTCAAATACCACATGTTCTGACTTATAAATGGGAGCTAAACAATGGGTACACATGGACATACAAAGTGGAATAATAGATATGGGGCACTGTAAAAGGTGGGAGGTGGGTAAGGGTTGAAAAAATACCTAAATAGTGCACATTGTACTTCATAGGTGATAAGTACTTTAAAAGTGTGGACTTCACCACTATGCATTATATACATGTAAGAAACCTGCACTTGTGTCTAAATCAATAAAAATAAATAGAGACAGAATGAGAGAAAGAAAGGCAGACAGAAAGGAATTAAGAAAACCTTATTCCCTCCTAGCAGCTCCATGATCAGATAATGATTTTGTCTGTATACACTGAGCTTTTTAAGGACAAGATGAACTTTAAAATGTCAAAAGCAATCCTTCAAAAATATACAATTCAATCAATTGTATTTACTCAATAAAAAAAAAACCCTAGTAATCAATTGAGTAAACATATGGCTGTCAGTTGCTAGTTTCATCAAAAAGCATACTGCATAGTCGTTGTAACATACTCATTTTGTGATTGTTAGCTATATTTGAATTATAAATGTTGAGTTTATTTTCAAGACTACGTAACATACAATTTAACATGTTGCTATTGCATAAATATGCTCCATTCATCTTTTGAGAATGTTTAAAGCAGCTGTATTTATTTTTAGAATTGAGTTAGTTTCAGCTTGGATATTGTGGGGATTGCTAAATCAACCTTTTAAAAAGTTTAGGCTGGACATGGTGGCTCATGCCTGTAATCCTAGCATTTTGGGAGGCCAAGACAGGTTGATCACTTGAGTCCTGGAGTTTGAGACCAGCCTGGGCAACATGGCAAATACCTGTCTCTACAAAAAATACAAAAATTAGCTGGGTGTGGTGATGGGTGCCTGTATTCCTAGCTACTCAGGAGGCTGAGGTGGGAGGATCACCTGAGCCCAGGAGGTCGAGGCTGCAGTAAGCCACTCCAGCCTTGGTGACAGACAGAGTAAGACCCTGTCAAGAAAAAGTTAATAAATAAAAAATAAAATGTTTAGTACATTTAGCTACCTATTTTCTTGGATTGTAGATAAATGGAATCTTGCTTCAATGATCTAAGTTTGAGTGTTTTTGTTCTATTAAGTGACAGTGCAAACAATGCTATCAACTTAATAAAATGGATTAAAATCCACAAAATATACTTTGAAACAAACTAAATTAGTACTTGTTAATCTTGCTTGGTATATGATTGATAAATATTTAAATACCACATATTATTTACTTCCAGGAACCCTGTTTTAATATAAAGGATTACAGAAGGTCTATAAGTCAAATTTTATTTGAATTTTATTACTTAGTTGATTTAGGATGGAGATGTGCTAAATATTATTTATTGCATGCTCTGACAAGTAGTTAATTCTAATTAATTTTTTATAATATTAGACATTTTCCCCCTCTGGATTCAGTATGAATGTATCTCAAAAATGATTTCAGAGTATTAATATTGTAAATGTAGCAGTGATAGGGATAAAAATGTCAACATTTAAGCTCATAGCCTGAATCTGCTTTTAGGAATGATTTTATGCTAATAAAATTTACTTAATGTTGATTTATTTAATGGCAGTAACCATGGTAGGTTAAATTACTTACTATGCTAAATAGATGAAAAAGCAACAGTGCCACCATAGACTCGTCAATGTGGCAACTAGTAGAATGAGGAGAAGGGATCCTTAATGAAGACTGTAAGCAGAATACATAGAGAAAATTAAGATAATGAGTAGTAGGTAAGAGAATAGCACTTTCCAAAATTATTTCTTGGCAGTTCTTTGACACTTTTAGACTATTATTGAAAGTGATCTTTTTCTTTTAATTATTGAAAGTGATTTTTTTTCTCTTAATAAGCTGTTTGGAAACAAATGGGATTCCTTCAGTTTTTCTTAAGAAACCCCAGAACTGTCATATATCACAGGCCTTGTTAAAGCATATATATAGAAATAAATACTAAGATATAATGTTCACTGATCTTGAGCACAAGATTTCGTTTTTCGTTTTACTGTGGTTTTGTGTTGTAATTTTCAAATTGAAAAAAATGCCCATTCACATTTTATTTTAAAACCATGATCTCTTCTGCTCTCTTTGTAGTGGTCGAGTAGTATTGCAGTTGTTCTGATCTCTTTGCATTGACTTACGGGATGCCATTTTTTCTACTTTCTTTTCTTACCATACTATTACTTAATGTGGTTTCCCTTTCACTGTTCTTAATTCTCATTTCCCACACCGTTTTTTTTTTGTTTTTTTTTTTGAGATGGAGTCTCACTCTGTCGCCCAGGCTGGAGGGCAGTGGCACAATCTTGGCTCACTGCAACCTCCATCTCCGGGGTTCAAGCAATTCTCCTGCCTCAACCTCTTGAGTGGCTGTGGTTACAGGTGCACACCACCATATTCGGCTAATTTTTTTTTTTTTTTTTTGTATTTTTAGTAGAGGCGGGGTTTCACCGTGTTGGCCAGACTGGTCTCAAACTCCTTACCTCAAATGCTCCACCTGCGTTGGCCCCCCAGAGTGCTGGGATTACAGATGGGAGCCACCGCGCCTGGCCCACACACCGCTTTAAATGTTGAGGAACTCCAGAATTCCCTTCCTGTGTATTTGCTGACTTAATACATTTGACCGTTTATAAAATAAAAGCATTTCAAAATAGTTTTTAAAACAGAATAGAACAAAAGGTTTAAATAAGTTTCAAAGCGTTTTATATATCAGTGATCTGTGTTACTATTCGGTAAATATTATGACATTTTTCTTTTAGAATTCAAACCTAATACATCAGAAAGTGCCTCCTCCTAACGATCGACAAGGATCTCCAATACTGTCATTCATCATTCTTGAACAATTTAATGCTATTCGTTTAGTACAAAGTGTCCACCAGTCTCTTGCTGCTCTCAGCAAAGTCATCAGAGGAACTACTTTACTGAGTTCAGAAGTACAAAAATTGGCAAGTGCTTTATTAAACCAAAAGGTAAGCGAGTACTAACTGTATGTATTTTTATTTCATTGTTATAAGTGACTCCTCCATCACACATATATTTGTCAGGAATCATATAGTTAATAGCAGAAGACCCGAGTCACACTGGCTTAAGCCATATAAAAATTAATTGACTGATGTAACTGAAGAATCCAATGGTATCTAGCATTATGCCAGCTTGATGTAGGAACTTAAATTGTCATTAGCATGTCAGTTTATGTTAGCTATCTAGTGTTACATATATAATGAAATTTATGTTGATTTCACTTTGGGGCAGGTCCCCTATACATGAGCTTGAGTTTTATATTCCAAGCTCCAAGTCCAACAGAAAGAACACGTGTTTTCTAGTAACACACACAAAAATCTTAGGATTTGCTTTGATTAAAACCAGTTGGCTCATGCGTTATGCCTATTCCCATACTAGTTCAGTGGGCAGTGTGTGCAAAGCTCTCACTGACCAGAGCTTCAGCCAAATGCCTCTTCCTGGAGCTGGGGATGGATTTATCTTTGCCTTTAACACATATACTGAGAGTAAGGAAATGATGATTACCAGTGAAAAGTCTAGATAGTTTTAGAAGAAGGGGAAATCAACACTTCTTGTGCTGAAAAATTGGACCATTTTAAATGATAATAAAATCCATGTATTTTATATCTATTTGATAGAAACAAAAATATGGGATGTTCTGCACAGATTTATTTTAGCTGTTTGGAGAATAGAAACTTTGCAGAAGTTGGTATCTGGAAAATATTTCAGTGGAGTGCTATAGGAATTAAGTTTTCTTTTTTTTTTTCACGCCCCCTTGCTGTTTGTACTCAATATAGGGAAACCTCTGATAGTCAACCTAACAGTCCTCTCTGTTTGAATATAAAATAATAGCCTTCCTAGAACTTCCTACATTCACATATACTAGCATTAAAATATCCAGTGCTTTTCTACATATACAGAAAGGTCTACTCTGGCATCCTTGTCTTCTTTTTTATTTTACCTTGAAAAAGAATCTGTTTTGCATTGTTTTTTCTTTGTACATACATTGCCGTCTCTGTTAATCAACCATGATTATCAAAATACTATAGTTTTGATTTGTACCACAGATTGTAACTAAGTTGTTTTTAATTTGGAGTAGATATATTGTCAGTCATGAAAGATTCTTGGCACAGTGAAGGAACCAGTTGGAAAGGATTCTAAACTTTCTAAAAACTTTATTTAATTAACTCGTTTAATCATCACAGTAACATCTTGAGTGACATACTGTTGTCTCCATTTTACTGTGATGAATTTGAGGCAGTGGGGTGTTACATAACCAGAATCACACAGCAAAGAGTTCCAGAACCAGGATTTGAATCTGGGTATGTCCTGTTGTCATAATAAATGTAAATGCTTCAAATTTATGTATCAAAATATAAATGCTCTTGAGAGTATATTTCTTTATCCAACTATATGCCGTACAGAGTAAAATGTATCATTAAGACAAATTGCTGTTGAATTAGAAGAGAATAATAATATAGGAAGATGACATGTAGAAGAGAAGAGTAAGTCTAGTAGGACGGGTACACAATGAAGTATAATTAGGATTGGATCAGATTTTGAGGTCTCTAAAGCCAAAGAAAGGAACTTGGATTAAATGCTGTAGGCAATAATGATATTTATATGTAGAAATAATAGAGCAAAATGGCTAAGAATGTGACCGCTGGAATATGTCTGCCTGTTTGAGTTCTATTCTACCACATAGCAACTGTGTAACCTTGGGTAGGTTAATTAAGCATCTCTAAACTTCGCTTTTCTCATTTGTAAAATGAGGGTAGTAATAGTACCTACCTCATGGGATTATTACGAGAATTAAAACATCATTAAAGTGCTTGGCACATAGCAAGCACCCTACAAATGCTGTTCTTGTTATTGTTATTTTAGGATAATTTTATTATGAAAAGCTCTTCAAGCATTTATCTGGTATCATTGTACAAAATAAGTTTATAGAAATAGGAATACCATGTAGGTTACTGTAATTCTCATCTCAGGAAGAGGTAGTTAAGTTAGGGCCTGGAATAAGATATTTCAAGATGGTTCTATGTGATATTAATAAAAAATGTAAGAGGTAATTGGTAACCCATCAGAGACAGTGAAGAGGTAAGAGGTAACCCATCAGAGATAATGAAGGAGGTTTCAAAATATTCTGAGATTTATAGGAGGGTGAAGTAAATACCTAAAGTAATAATGTTGGATAGTGCTTGAATTATCTGTTTTTGACTACCTTCTATTAGTCTGTGGTGAGCTCAAGTAATTGAAACCCCTGATGCAAGTAATACAGATGTATTCAGGAGGGAGACTTCTAAGGGGTTGAGGGGAAAAATGCCTGTTGAGGGTCAACGTCCCCCTAATTCTGGTGTAGGAGCTAGACTAGAGTGGTAAAATGCCCTGAAGAAACCAGCAAAAAAGAATACTTCTGAGATAATAAATAGGATTATTCCATATTGGAGGCCTTTTTGGACAATTGTTGTACGGTGGCCTTGAAATGTGCTTTCTTGGATAATATCACGTCATCATTGGTATACAGTTAGTGTATTGGTTAGCAAGCCTAGGGTTAAAAGAGTCATAGAGTTGAAGTGAAATCACATGGCCAGGCCAGATGTTATTAGAAGAGCTGAGAGAGCCCCTGTTAATGGTCAGGGACTGGGGTTGACTATATGGTAGGCATGTGTTTGGTGGGTCGTGGTGTTGTCATGTAGATAGAGGCTTACTAGTAGTGCAAAGACATAAGCCTGAATAAGGGCTATGGCGAATTTGAGAATGGTTAGTAGGATTAAAATAATGAAAGCAATTGAAGCTGTGGGAAGACTAATAGTTGATAGTACTAGTGTGGCTCCTCTGATTAAGTGTATTAGTAGGTGGCCAGCTGTAATGTTGGCTGTTAATCACTCAACTAGTGCTATTGGTTGGATGAATAGGCTAATAGTCTCAATGATTACCAATACAGGAATAAGTGGTATGGGTCTGCCTTGTGGTAAAAAAGTGGGCTAAGGAGATTTTCATTTTAAACTGGAAGCCTGTAATGACTGTGCATGTTCACAAGGGGATTGCTATACCTAGATTTATTGATAATTGGGTAGTTGGTATAAATGAGTAGGGTAGAAGCCCGAGGAGATTGGTCGAGGCAATGAAGAAAATTAGGGATATCAGTATTAGGGATCAGGTTTGTCCTTTAATGTTATGGGTAATTATTATTTTAGTAAAGTTGAACTATTCATTGTTGAATGGAGATCAGTAGATGACTAATTAGATGATTGGAGGTTAGAAATAGTATGGTGGGAAATAAAATGGTTAATACTACTGCGGGTAGACCTAGAAATGTTGGGGTAATAAAAGAGGTGAATAAATTTTCATTCATTTTAATTCTCAAGAGGTTAAATGTTCTTGTATTTTGATTATTTTTTGTGTAGGGGGTGTGTAATAAATGAAATTTGGTAGTTTTAACTGAATAATGTAGAATAAAGTTATGATTATTGACAAGATAACAATAGATCATGTGGAAATATCTAGTCGAGGCATTCACTGCAGAGAGGTGTAGACCCCTCAGTCTTTAACTTAAAAGGTTAAAGCTAAGTAGCTTTACAGTGATATTATAGTGTGGTTGTGGATCAGGTTTCGAAATTTTTTAAGGGAATTGATTCTAGGACAATAGGTATAAAACCGTGGTTAGACCCACACATTTTTGAGCACTGTCCGTAGTAAAGGCCTGGTCATGTAGCAGTCAAGGTAGTTTAAGCATTCAGGAATTGCATCTGTTTTGATGCCTAATGAGGGAATAGTTCATGAGTGTAGGACGTCTTCGGATGAGACTAATATACAGATGGGTATCTCTATTGGGAGAACTGTTCAGTTATCAACTTCAAAGAGTTGAAGCTCTCCTGGCTTTAAGTCTGCTGTTGGGGTTATATAAGAATCAAAGCCTAACTCTTCATGTTCTGTATACTCATAGCTTCAATATCATTGGTGACCAGTTGTTTTGATGGTAATAGAAGGGTTGTGAACCTCATCTGTTATAGAATACGTAGGGATGGGAGGGCAATTAAAATTAAGATAATGGCAGGTGAGATAGTTCAGACAGTCTCGATTTCTTGGGCATCTATGCTGTTAGTATGAATTAATTTGTTGTGAGTATTAGGGAAATAATATATAGGACCAGGGAACTAATTAGGAAAATAATTATAAGAGTATGGTCATGGAAAGTGAGTAATTCTTCCATAATAGGGGATGTAGCACCTTGAAAGCCTAACTGAACTGCATGAGCCATTAAGACATACAGGGTTTAACCTATAACTTAACTTTGACAAAGTTATGTAATGATTTTACTAGTATCTTATCAAGAAATTCATAGAGGTTATGGGATTGGCTAGAAACCAGTTTCAGGAGGTTCGATTCCTTCCTTTTTGGCTTAGGTTTTCATGCAGGTTGGTTCTTCGAATGTGTGGTAAGGTGGTGGACAGCCGTAAAGTCACTCTAAATTAGTAGATGATTGTTCAGTTGTTAGAACTTTTCATTTTGAAGCAAAGGCTTCCCAGTTCTTAAAAATTATTAGTATAACTGCTGCTAGTGAGATAAGTGAGCCTACTGATGAGATAATATTTCATATGGTGTGCACATCAGGATAATCAGAGTAATGTTGGGGCATACCAGATAGGCTGAGGAAGTGCTGTGGGGAAAAGATTAAATTAACACCTATAAATATAATGGTGAAGTGGATTTTAGCCTATCTGATTAATTGTATAACCTGAAAATAAGGGGAATCAGTGGACAAAGCACCCTATCATGGCAAATACCATTCCTATTGATAGGATGTAGTGGAAATGGGCTACAACATAATATGTGTCATGTAAGATAATGTCTAGTGATGAATTAGCTAGTATAATGCTGGTTAGACCTCCTACTGTGAATAGGAAAATGAATCCTAGGGCTCAGAATATTGCAGGAGATCATTTGATGTTACCGCCACGCACTGTAGCTTATCAGCTAAAGACCTTGATGCTAGTAGGGATAGCAATAATTATAGTAGTGGCAGTGAAGTATGCCCGTGTGTCTACGTCTGTTCCTACTGTAAATATATGGTGAGCTCATACGATAAACCCTAGGAAGCCAATTGATATTATAGCTCATACTATGCCCATATACCCAAATGGTTCCTTTTTTTTTCAGAATAATATGTTGCGATATGGGAGATTATTCCGAAGCCTGGTAGAATAAGGATATAGACTTCAGGGTGACCAAAGAATCAGAATAAATGTTGATACAAGATAGGGTTGCCTCCCCTAGCAGGGTCAAAAAAAGTAGTATTGAGGTTACGGTCAGTTAATAGTATGGTAATGCCGGGGGCTAGAACTGGGAGAGAAAGGAGGAGAAGGACTGCTGTAATGAGGGCTGATCAGACAAAAAGGGATGTTTGATATTGGGAAGAGGGTTTTATATTAAATTGTGGTAATAAAGTTAATGGCTCCTAAAATAGAAGAAACACCTGCCAAGTGGAATGAGAAGATGGTTATACCTACAGAGTTTCCTGCATGAATTAAGTTCCCTGCTAAAGTGGGATAAACAGTTCAGCCATTTCCAGCACTGGCTTCTACCATTGAGGATGCAAGCAGGAAAGAGGGGAGGAGAAGTCAGAAGTTCATATTATTTATCCGGGGAAATGCCATGTCAGGTGCCCCAGTTATCAGAGGGACTAGCCAGTTACCAAAAGCCCCAATTATGATTGGTATGACCATAAAGAAGATTAATACAAATGCGTGGGTTGTAACAATAACATTATAAATCTGACCATCTCCTAGCAGAGTTCCTGGTTGGCCTAATTCTGCTCGAATTAGAAGGCTTAAGGCGGTGCCCCCTATTCCCACTCATGCGCCAAATAACAGATATAGTGTTCTGATGTCTTTGTGGGTAGTTGAAAACAATCAATGATTGATGAACGTAAGTGAAAAAAAGGTAAAATGGCTGAGTAAGCATTAGACTATAAATCTAAAGACAGAGGTCAAGGCCTCTTTTTACCAGCCCTGAGGTGATTTCTCATGTTGAATTGCGAATTCAAAGGGGCAGCTTCAATCCGCCTTTCCCCGACAAGGGCAGGAGAAGTAGATTGAAGCCAGTTGATTAGGATGTTTAGCTGTTAACTAAATTATCCTGGGTTTGAATTCCACCAATCTAGCAAGGGCTTAGGTTAATTAAAGTGATTGATTTGCATTCAATTGATGCAGAATAGTCTTGCAGTCCTTAGATCTGTTACAGAAATTAAGTGTAATTTACTTACTAAGGGCTTTGAAGGCTCTTGGTCTTATTTAACCTAAATTTCTAAGTTATGATTAGTATTATTGGAGAGATGGGTAAAAGGAGGGGTAGAAGAAATAAGTGAGAGGAGGAGGAGTATGAGTTTTGTGCTTTCGAATTGTCATTTTATTTTCATATTATTAGATGTGGGGAATATTGTTACTGAGATAGAATAAATTAGGCGTATATAAAAGTACAGGTAGAGTAGGGTTATGATAGCTATAATAGTTGGGGTAATAAGACTTGTTTTTTGTAAATTCTTGAATGATGGCTCATTTGGGCAGAAATCCTGTTAGTGGAGGTAAATCTCCTAGGGATAATAGAATTAGTGGGATTATAGGTGTTAACCATGTTAGTTTGTTTCAGGCATGAAATAGTGACAGGGTTGTAGTGCTTATACTCAGGTTGAGTGAGTGCTAGGAATGCGGCGATTGTTAAAGCAAATAATCAGGTTTAGAATAGTAATGCTTGGGTTATAAATTAGTACTGCTATCATTCAACCTATATGATTAATTGAGGAGTAGGCTAGGATTTTGTGTAGCTGTGTTTGATTAAGTCCTCCTCAACCACCCACCATAATGGATAAAATTGTGATAGCATATTTGTGTGTTTATTGATGGGAAAATTTGAAATATAATTAAGATAGGGGCTAGTTTTTGTCATGTGAGGAGAAGTATGCCAGACATTAGAGAGCTTCCTTGGGTCACTTTTGGGACTCAGAAATGAAAGAGGACTCTTTCTAGTTTTATTACTAGGGCTATTATTAAGGATGAAAATCGATTAATAGTATTTATTGTTCATTGTCCAGAGTACAGGTTATTGGAAAGGATACCTATCATACGAATTATAGATGTGGTTGCTTGTGTAAGGAAGTATTTGGTGGCTGCTTCTCCAGGGCCGGGATTTATTTTTTTTTTTAATTAAGATTGGAGTAAGAGCTAATATGTTTATTTCTAGGCCTGTCCAGATGAGAAATTAGTATGAGCCTAGTATTGTGATAAGAGTTCCTGTGAAAATAGTTAAATAAATAATAAGTTGGGCTGGTGGATTAATTAGTACAGGAAGGAGATAACCAGCATTTTCAGGGTATGGGCCTGATAGCTTATTTATCTGACCTTACTTTAGGACATCGCGTAATAGGTAGCACAGACAATTTTGGATTCTCACGGGTAGGTTCAATTCCTATAGTTCTAGAAATAAGAGGATTTAAACCTTGTTTACTCTATCAAAGTCATTCTTTTATCAGACATATTTATGTTTGGGGTAGAATGCTGGAAATTAGAATAGGCATTGAGACATATGCAGAATGCTAGCGTAAGTGGTAGAAAATTTTTTCATAGAAGATATGAATTGTTCGTAGCAGAAATGGGGGTATGCTGTTGGAATTCGTAAAAACAGGTAGTTACAAGGAGTGTCTTGATAATGAAATTTGTGGTATAGAGTACTGGTGAATGTATGGTGTGTAGTGCTCCTAGAAAAATAGTAGTTAGGGCATTTATTACGATAATATTCATATATTATGCTATAAAGAAGAGGGCAAATGAACCTGCAGCATATTTGATGTTGAAGCCTGAGGCTCTGATTCTCCTTCTGTTAGCTCAAAAGGGCCCCAGTTAGTTTCTGTTAGTGTGGAGATAAATCAGATTATGGCTAGGGGCCATGATGGTAGGAGTAGTCAGAGGAATTCTTGCTTTGTGATGAGTGCATATAAGTTAAATGAGCCACTTATCAGAACTGATAATAGGATAATGGTTAGGGTGACTTCATATGAAATTTGTCTGGGCTACAGCTCATAATGCACTGATTCGTACATAATTTGAATTAGATGCTCATCCTGATCATAGAATAGATGGCTAGGCTTGATGTGGCTAGTATAAATAGGAGGCCTTTATTTAAAATTAATAAGAGGATCCGGTATAGGGAGGTGAGTTCACAAGAGGAGAGCGATAGAAAGGGCCAGGGTTGGAACAGTAATATAAAGGGTAACGGTAGATGTTGAGGGTCATAAGGGTTCTTTGGTGAAAAGTTTTATTGCATCAGCAAATGGTTGAAGCAGTCCGTAGGAGCCTACAGTGTTAGATCCTTTGCGTAGTTGTATATAGCCTAAGATTTTTTGTTCAATGAATGTAAGGAATGCTATAGCAATTATAGTGGGAATAATAAATAGGAGGTGGTTAATTACAGGCATATTGTTAAGAAGAGGAGTTGAACCTCTGATTTATAAAGTTTTATGCAATTACCGGGCTCTACCATCTTAAACCCTGTTCTCGGGTTGGATGTGTGATGATTTGTTTGATTGAGATAGTATCATCTATGAGGCGAGGTTGCTTTATGAAGTAGGCCCTATTTCTCTTGTCCTTTCGTACTAGCAGAAATATTAAATAGATAGAAACCGACCTGGATTACTCCAGTCTAAACTCAGATCACATAGGACTTTAATTGTTGAACAAATGAACCCTTAATAGCAGCTACATTAGGATGTCCTGATCCAACATTGAGGTCGTAAACCCTATTGTCTATATGGACTCTAGAATAGGATTACACTGTTATCCGTAGGGTAACTTGTTCAGTTAAATTATTGGGTCAATATATGTTAACTCGCTTAGACTAGTGCCATTTTAGTTTAGGTTGTTCGGAGGTTAAATTATGCTCCAAGGTCACCCCAGCCAAAATTTTTAATGCAATGGTAATGGGTTAGGGCGAGTTTCTATTTGCCTTAATGAATTAAAGCTCCATAGGGTCTTCTCATCTTGTTTATATCCCGCCGGATAGGTCAGTTTCACTGATTAAAAGTAAGAGACAGCTGAAGCCTCGTGTGGCCATTTATACAAGTCCCTATTTAGAGAACAAGTGATTATGCTACCTTTGCACAGTCAGGATACCACAGCTGTTGAACATATGTCACTGGGGACATGTCTAATACTGGTAATGCTAGAGGTGGTGTTTTTGGTAAACAGGCAGGGTAAGATTTGCCGAGTTCCTTTTACTTTTTGTAACCTTTCCTTCAAGAATACCTTTGTTGGATTAACAGTATAAATAATAAGGTGCTTATTGTATCACTTATTAATATTAGGCTGTTAACGGTCAGTGGGTTATTCCGGTTTGATGTAAGCTTATGTGATGGAGGATATCTTCATGTTACTTATATTAACATTATTGCTTCTATTAAGTAATAGATTAGTCCAACGTAATGTTAGGAGTTCAGTAGAGTGATTAGAATTTAAAATAGATGTTGAGCTTGAATGCTTTCTTAATTGGTGGCTGCTTTTGGGCCAACTATGGTGGTAATAATGTTTACTCTCTGGAGGAAGGTTATTTCCTAGGGTCTAAAGATCTGTCCCTCTTCAGACTAGCAGTTAAACTTACAGGGGACTAAGTAATTCTGTGGGTACGTAGACGGCTAGGCTTGATGTGGCTAGTATAAATAGAAGGCCTTTATTAAAATTAATTAGAGGATCTGGTATAGGGAGTTGTCTAAGATTCTATCTTGGACAACCAGCTATCACCAGGCTCGGTAGGTTTGTCACTGCTACTCATGAATCTTCCCACTATTTTGCCACATAGGTAGGTGTGCTCTTCAGCTGTTCTTGGGTAGCTTGTCTGGTTTCAGGGGACTTGGCTATGGGTCTCTGTGTAAAGTTAGTTATTTCTAGTTAATACATTATGCAGAAGGTATAAGGGTTTGTCTTTGCTTTTTAATGCTTGATTCAGTTCTTTCATCTTTCCCTTATGGTACTATGTCTATTGTGCCAGGATAAAATTTCCATCGCCTATACCTTTATATAAGATAAATGGTTTAAGATTATTTGATAATGTCTTTAGTGAGGTTTGGAGTGAGAGTTGGCTCAAAGTGATCAGGTCATGATGAAATCTTCCAGGGGTAAGCTGGGTACTTTGGATTAAGCTACACTTTGGTTTGTCCAAATGCACTTTCCAGTATGCTTACCATGTTACAACTTATCTCCTCTATACGTGTGTAGAGAGATTTTAGTAATAGGGATTTCTAGAATAGTATTTGGAAAGGTGACAGGCAGTGTGTGTGTGCTTCATGGCCTTATTCAACCAAGCACTCTACTCTTGGTTTACTGCTAAATCCTCCTTGAGTCTTTTGATTTCATAAAGGTTGTCGTGAGATTTTCTGGGTATAGAAAATGTAGCCCATTTCTTCCCACCTCATGAGCTACACCTTGACCTAATGTTTTTATGTGTATTACTTGTGCTTACTCTATAACCTTTTTAGGGTTTGCTGAAGATGGCGGTATATAGGCTGGGGGCAAGAGGTGGTGAGGTAGATCGGGGTTTATAGATTATAGAACAGGCTCCCCTAGAGGGATATAAAGCACCGCCAAGTCCTTTGAGTTTTAAGCTATTGCTTCTAGTATTCTGGCGAATGGTTTTGTTAATATAACTATTATAGTTTAGGGCTAAGCATAGTGGGGTATCTAACCCCAGTTTGGATCTTAGCTGTCGTGTCTTCAGGATATTAAAGCCACATTCGTAGTATGTTTTATTTCAGCCTAAGTTTTTTACAACTTAAATGGAGTTTAGCTTTATTGAGGGCAGATCTTAAACACTCTTTACGCTGAGTTCTATTAGCTTGGGTTAATTGTATAGCTTGGGTTCATTGTATGGCCACAGTGGCTGGCACGAAATTGACCAACCCTATATATCAGTATAGCTTAAACGTTCATTTATTACTAAATATTTATCACTGCTGTTTCCCGTGGGGGTGTGGTTGAGCAAAGTATTTTGAGCTGCATTTGTGCATGCTTGATACTTGCTCCTTTGATCCGGGTGATGTAGAGGGCATTTTTCACTGGGGTGGGGATGCTTGCATGTGTAAAGACCAGGACCAAACCTATCTGTTTATGGGGTTGTGCAAACCCATCTAGACATTTTCAGTGTCTTCCTTTAAATAATTAAGCTACATTAACTGCATAAATACTTCAGCGTAAAGTTAATTAGAATATGAGGAAAGAAGAAATAAGTAAGTATAAACCGTCATTTACAGTTCTAGAAATCCAGTGGTTTAAAGTTGAGTTGGCAGAGGTTTAGTTGGGGGTTACTCATAATTAGGGTATAATTGATTTAGGCTATGATATATAAGGTAGCGCTTTCAGAAGGGTGTATTCAAGGTATCATATCAGTATTAGGGTGGGAAATTGGTTGTTGTGCTTATTGTATAAAATGGAGGCTTTGTTTAGTAGGGTTTTCAGATTGTTAGGAAAATTATATCAATCGAGGGGTAGCCGTTGAGGTACTCATGATTAAAATATGATTTCTGGGCAAATTTGGTTTCTTGTTTTGTTTCTGCTGTTAATTATCTCGGTGACCTGTGGCATAAACACTTGAAAAAAAAAGGATAATTTAACTTTAAATCATTTTCTATGATTATAATATAATGTGGCTTAGATTATGTTGAAAGATAAAGAACAAAAAGGGCTTAATTATATGAAACAATTTTTTAAGACCAAAATATTTTAGAAAGGGGTCATACATTTTTAATTTTTATATTTTTTCTTTCTTTCAACCAAGATCTACTAAGTATTTCATTATTTCACACAGCAACAAAACTGGATGGCTTATTTCTTAATTAACATGTATTTATGTAGGATGCAGATAATTTCAATATATAAAGTATTCTATATTATACTTTGAATTAAGAAATGCAGCCTCAGAAAATATCACTATTTTTGAAATATTTGTATTATTTGCATGAAAATGAATTTGTTAAAATTCTTTCAAAGTATGAAAAATGTGTTTTACAAAGCATGTTTAAATTCTGTCACAGGTGGTATTCTTAGAAATCGTTTAGGCTGTTTGATGAAATGCAAATGAGACTAGTCTGACTTTCACTAAGATCAGATCAGTAAAACACTTTCTGACATTTACTTTCTAATGAGTTTTAACAAAAACTGAGAATTCAGTACTACCCCATTTATTTCAAAATAAAAGTTAAATTTTTGTTAAATTTTTGTTACATTTGAATGTGACAAGTTATGTATGATGCCATACGATTTAATGTGCTTTAGGAAAGAGTTCAGTACTTGACATTTTCTTTACTATGTGTGACACGATTGGAGTAGGAAATTTCCTAGAGAGAATAATGACTTTTATTTCTTTGATAACTTATGATGATCTGCTAAAACTTTTTTAAATACACAATATTTATAATTTGCTTTTTAAAGAAAACAATATTGTAAAATAGTTATCTTCTACATGTTAGAACATAGACTTTAAAACATAATTTAAAATATACAGCAAAAATTACAAAGGTGCAAATGCCAAATTGCTTTATCTTACTGAATAATCACTAAGAGAATGTACCATTTTAGTAGAAATTAATAGGTTGTATTGATTAATTGAACCCCTTTTAAAGCCAACATATCTATTGGTTATACATTTCTGTGTATTCTAACATGCAAGCTGGTAACACTAAATGGCTCTTCAATTTTTTAAACCAGGGAGTCCTTCAGCAATATGGCAAAAATGCTAGTGGATCCTGTGTCTTTTAATAATTTTCAAAACTGTTTAATCATTTTGAAATCATTTTTTGATCACTGACCACCTTAAAAATTGAAGAGGAAGGATGTACTTTCTTAAAATATGTTCATACATATACATATAGAACTTTATTATATAATTTTGAGATGTATGAAGTTAATATCTTCTTTGCTATCCTGGTTATTCCTTTCACTTTCACTCCTTTCCTCTACCATGGCCCTCTTTGTAGGAGTGGTTCTCAAAGTGTGGTCTCCAGACCAATATCATTAGCATCACCTGAGACCTTGGCAGAAATATGAATTCTTGTACCACCCCCCACCTACCCTCCAGACTACTGAATCAGAAACTCCCAGTGTGTTTACTTGCAATTTGTTTTATCAAGCTCTTGAGGTGCGTGTCAACTTTGGGGAAATACTGCAGTCAGAATTCACATCCAAAAAGGCAGTACCTGCCATGTCACCTTTCCATCTATCTCCACTACACTTTGTGAACATTTATGACTACATCCACCATGGATCTTTATAAAATGACTGGGGACCTTATTTTTTGTTAAAAGCCTATTTTTATTGTTTACTTGCCTGCAAATTAGTTCTTAGGAAAGTTCTACTCCAACTATTTTAACAAATAATTATAAACGTTGAATAATTTGTATTTTTTTCATTTAAGGTATTACCTCATGTTTTAAAACATAATATTTATGTTAAATAACAGTTTACTATTTATGCAGAACTTTAGTAGCCCTTATGAAATTTGATACTCTCATCCTGCTTTTACTTAAGAAGACTGTGAAAGAGTTACATCCTGGTAGAGCATTAAAGCCTGTACTGTAATTCTGATGTTGTGATTCCTAGATCAGAGTTCTTTCCACCTTACTGCTCATTAAATATTTTGCTAGATCAAGCAGCTAAATTATAGTGTTTGTTATAAGATGCAGTTATCAGCTTTGTTTGTTTGAACTGAACTGCATATACTCATCTTCAAAGGCCTATCAAATACTGGGATGGAACTCTGCCTACTCCCTCATCTATAGCTTTACTTAGCAACATTTTATTATATGTACTTATAATGTAAATCAATTTTTATTGATTTAAGGGAAAAAAGGGGCCTGCATATAACAAGAATCTTTAATCTTTTGGAATTTTCCTTTATATCCCTAACTTAATATCATCATCCCAAGTTAATAGAATACACTTTCTCTTTTTTAGCAAGAGATTTTAACTTCCAGAGCTTGTCCTTTTGTTTGTCCTTTTTCATTCATTTAGCAAATAAAAACAGAAGTACATTATTGTAAGGACTTTATGCCATGCTAAAAGAAGTTTTATCATTATTATTTGAAAGTAAACTGTGGTAAGTTAAAGATGTGTACATAAGTCATAACACAATGATAAAAATGAAAGTACCAAAGAGGTATGCATAATGAGCCAAAATAGGACATAAGATGGAAACATAACCTTTATCAATTAATACAAAAGCAAGATCAGGAAATAAAAAGTCAGAAATTACAAGTATCAGGAATTAGAGACAGGACATCACTGCATTTCCTACAGACATTAAAAGGATATTAAGGGAATGTTATTAATAATTTTATGCCTACAAATTCAACAACTTAGGTGAAATACACAAATTCCTTGAAATAAATTCACCACTGCTGGGCGCAGTGGCTCACGCCTGTAATCCCAGCACTTTGGGAGGCCGAGGCACATGGATCACGAGGTCAGGAGTTCAAGACCAGCCTGACCAACATGGTGAAACCCTGTCTCTACTAAAAATACAAAAATTAGCTGGGCTTGGTGGCACGTGCCTGTAATCCCAGCTACTCGGGAGGCTGAGGCAGAAGAATTGTTTGAACCCAGGAGAAAGAAATAAAGGATATTCAGATAGTAAGAGAGAAGTCACATTGTCTCTGTTTGCAGGTGACATGGTTGTAGATTTAGAAAACCCCATCATCTCAGCCCAGAAACTCCTTAAGCTAATAAGTAACTTCAGCAAAATTTCAGGATTCAAAATCAGTGTGCAAAATTCACAAGCATTCCTATACATCAATAATAGACAAGCAAAGAGCCAAATCATGAGTGAACTCCCATTCACAATTGCTGCAAAGAGAGTAAAATACCTAAGAATACAACTTTCAAGAATGTGAAGGACCACTTCAAGAAGAACGATAAAACCACTGCTCAAGGAAATAAGACAGGACACAAACAAATAGAAAAAAAATTCCATGCTTATGTACCACCATAGAATCAATATCATGAAAATGGCAGTACTTCCCAAAGTAATTTATAGATTCAGTGCTATTCCCATCAAGCTACCATTGACTTTCTTCACAGAATTAGAAAAAACTTTGACAAACCTGAGAAACACAAGCAATGGGGAAAGGATTCCCTATTTAATAAGTGGTGCTGGGAAAACTGGCTAGCCATATGTAGAAAGCTGAAACTGGATCCCTACCTTACACCTTATACAAAAATTAATTCGAGATGGATTAAAGACTTAAATGTTAGACCTCAAACCATAAAAACCCTAGAAGAAAACCTAGGCAATACCATTCAGGACATAGGCATGGGCAAGGACTTCATGACTAAAACACCAAAAGCAATGGCATGCAACAAAAGCCAAAATTGACAAATGAGATCTAATTAAACTAAAGAGCTTCTGCACACCAAAAGAAACTACCATCAGAGTGAACAGGCAACCTACAGAATGGGAGAAAATTTTTGCAATCTATTCATCTGACAAAGGGCTAATATCCAGAATCTACAAAGAACTCGTTAAAAACCCCATCAAAAAGTGGGCAAAGGATATGAACAGACACTTCTCAAAAGAAGACATCTATGCAGCCAACAGACACATAAAAAAACGCTCATCATCACTGGTCATCAGAGAAATGCAAATCAAAACCACAATGAGATACCATCTCATGCCAGTTAGAATGGCGATCATTAAAAAGTCAGGAAACAACCAATGCTAGAAAGGATGTGGAGAAATAGGAACACTTTTACACTGTTGGTGGGACTGTAAACTGGTTCAACCATTGTGGAAGACAGTGTGGCGATTCCTCAAGGATCTGGAACTAGAATTACCATTTGACCCAGCCATCCCATTACTGGGTATATATCCAAAGGATTATAAATCATGCTACTATAAAGACACATGCGCACATATGTTTATTGCTGCACTATTCACAATAGTAAAGACTTGGAACAAACCCAAATGTCTATCAATGATAGACTGGATTAAGAAAATGTGGCACATATACACCATGGAATACTATGCAGACATAAAAAGGATGAGTTCATGTCCTCTGCAGGGACATGGAATGAAGCTAGAAACCATCATTCTCAGCAAATGATCACAAGGACAGAAAACCAAACACCACATGTTCTCACTCATAGGTGGGAATTGAACATTGAAATCACCTGGACACAGGAAGGGAACCATCACACACCAGGGCCTGTCCCAGGCTGGGGGGCTGAGGGAGGGATAGCATTAGGAGAAATACCCAGTGTAAATGATGAGTTGATGGGTGCAGCAAACCAACATGGCACATATATACCTATGTATCAAACCTGCACTTTGTGCACATGTACCCTAGAACTTAAACTATAATAATAATAATTAATAATAAAAAAGAAAAAACTACTTTTAAGTTTCATATGGAACCAAAATAGAGCCTGTATAGCCAAGACAATCCTAAGCAAAAAGAACAAAGCTGGAGGCATCAGCTACCTGACTTCAAACTATACTACAAGGCTACAGTAACCAAAACAGATTATAGACCAATGGAACAGAACAGAGACCTCAAAAATAATGCCACATATCTACAACCATCTGATGTTTGACAAACCTGACAAAAGACGAGCAATGGGGAAAGGATTTCCTTTTTAATAAATGGTGCTGGGAAAACTGGCTAGCCATATACAGAAAACAAACTGGACCCCTTCCTTACACCTTATACAAAAGTTAACTCAATATGGGTTAAAAACTTCAATGTAAAACCCAGAACCTAGGCAATACCATTCAGGACATAGGCACTGGCAAAGACTTCAGACTAAAACACCAAAAGCAAGGCAACAAAAGCCAAAATTGACAAATGGGATCTAATTAAAGAGTTGCTGCACAGCAAAAGAAACTATCATCAGAGTGAACAGACAACCTATAGAATGGGGAGAAATTTTTGCAATCTACCCATCTGACAAAAGGCTAATATCCAGAATCTACAAGGAACTTAAACAAATTTACAAGAAAAAAACAACCCCATCAAAAAGTGGGCAAAGGATATGAACAGACACTTCTCAAAAGAAGACCTTTATGTGGCCAACAAACTTATGAAAAAAAGCTCATCATCACTGGTCATTAAGGAAATGCAAATCAAAACCACAATGAGATACCATCTCACACCAGTTAGAATGATGGAGTCTTTCTTTGTCGCCAGGCTGGAGTACAGTGGCACAATCTGGGCTCACTGCAACATCCGCCTCCTGGGTTCAAGCCATTCTCCTACCTCAGCCTCCCAAGTAGCTGAGACTACAGGCGCATGCCACCACACCCAGCTAATTTTTATATTTTTAGTTGAGACGGGGTTTCACCATGTTGGTCAGGGGGGTTTCACCATGTTGGTCAGGATGGTCTCGATCTCTTGACCTCATGATCTGTCTGCCTCAGCCTCCCAAATTGCTAGGATTACAGGCGTGAGCCATCACACCTGGCCCAATAAAGTGATTTTTAAAAAGCCAACAAAGACATTATAGGTGAAAACCCTTCACAAATTTGCTTCATGCACATAATCACAAACACTAAACTTCTTACAAGATATTAGTAAATTGAATCCAACAAAATGTAAAATGGATAATGCATCATCCCCACAATACTAGTGTAGGCTAACATTTTAAAAATTGATCCGTGTTGGCCAGGCGTGGTGGTTCACGCCTGTAATCCCAAAACTTTGGGAGGTCAAGGCAGGCAGATCAGAGGTCAGGATTTCGAGACCAGTCTGACCAACATGGTGAAACCGTGTCTCTACTAAAAATACAAAAATTAGCTGGGCATGATGGCACGTGCCTGTAATTCCAGCTACACAAGAGGCGGAGGCAGGAGAATTGCTTGAACCCGGGAGGCAAAGGTTGCAGTGAGCCAAGATTGCACCACTGCAGTCCAGCCTGGACAACAGAGCGAGACTCCATCTCAAAAAAAAAAAAAAATTGATCAATGTTATTTACCATAATAGACTCATAAAGAAAAATTGTAACATTATCTCAATACAGAAAAATCATTAGAAAAATTTAACAGCTAGTCGTGATTAAAAAAAAAAAAAAACTTTAGCAAACTAAGATTAGAAGTGAACCTCTACAGCCAGATGAAAGGGCATCTATGAAAAAGATACAACTAATATGACAGTAAAAGACTATATGCTTTCCTTTTATGATCAGGAATGAGGCATTAAGCTCCACTTCTATTCAATGTTGCACCACATATCCTAGCTAGTAAAAATATTAAGAAAAATAAATACAAGTCATGCAGATTGGAAAGAAAGAAGGAAGCCTGCCTTTATTTGCAGAGGATACTATCATCTATTTACAAAATCTTAAGGAATCTACAAAAAAGATTTAGAGCTAGTAAGAGTTTGTTTAGCAAGATTGTGGGATATAAGGTAAATATATAAAAACTTAATTGTAGCTCTATATGTGAAAACAAATTATTGAAAATTGAAATTTAAAAATATTATGTGCATTACCTTTCTACACACTGAAAACTATAAAATGTTGACTAGTGAAATTGAAGAAGACCTAAATATATGGAAAGATGCATTGAAAGATGTACTGTGCTTGTGGATCAAGAGACCTAGTGTTAAAATGTTAGTTCTAAGATGGCCAATTAGAAGCAGCTGCAGTCTGTGGCACTATGGAGAGGAATGAAAGGGCAAGTGAATTCAGCACCTTCAACTGAAATATCCATGTTCTCGCATTGGAAATGACAAGGCAAAGAACTCACAGAGAACAAAGAAAAGCAGTGTGGGGTAATGGCCCACCTGGGAGTGGCATGGAGCCAAAGGAACCCCCATCCCCAGCCAAGGGAAGCAGTGAGTGATTGTTCGACCCCACCTGGGAAACCACATTTCTCCCACACATCTTTGCAACCCATAGATGAGGATATCCCCTCATGAGCCCACACCACCAGGGCCTTGGGTCCGAAACACAGAGCTGTGTGGAGTCTGCACAGCAGCTGCTCAGGTACACACACACAGGCCCAGGAGTTTTACATACTCCAGTCCTGTGCTACCCAGCAAGGAAAGAGTCCACCTGTATATATCCCTAAAGAAGGGGGCTGAATTCAGGGAGCCAAGCAGCGTCATTCTGCAGGGCCCACTTCCATGGCACTTCACAAGGTAAGACCCACTGGCCTGGAATTCTGGCCAGCCCACAGCAACAGGCTGGAGTCTGCCTGAGGCAGGAACAAGTTTCTTGGGGTAGGGGTGGCGGCCGTCTCTGCGATTTGGTAGACTTAGCCATTCCAGCCTGCTGGCTTGGGAGAATACAAACAGTCCAGATGAGGAAGGGTCCCCCCTCAATGCAGCACACTTGCTCTACAAAAATGAGCCAGACTGATTCTTTAAGTGGTTCCGTGATCCCATTCCTCCTGACTGGATGAGACCTCCCAACAGGAGTCTCCAGATACCTCCTACAGGCACATTTGGGCTGACAACCAGTCATTATCCCGCTGGGACAGAGCTTCCAGAGGAAGGAGCAGGCTGCCATCTCTGCTGTTTCACAGCCTTCACTGGTGATGCCTCCAGATACAGGAAAAATCAAGGCAACTAGGGTCTAGAGTGGACCCCCAGCAAACCACAGCAGCCTTGTGGAAGGGTGGCCTGACTGGTTAAAAAAAAAAAAACCACACAGAAAACAATATTTAAAATAAAAGACCCTACAAAAACCCCAAAGGTCAGCAACCTCAAAGATCAAAGATAGATGAGCCCACAAAGATGAGAAAGAATCAATGCAACAACACCAAAAACTGAAAAGCCAGAGTGCCTCTTCTCCTCCAAATGACTGCAACACCTCTACTGCAAGGGCACAGAACTGGGCTGAGGCTGAGATGGCGGAATTGACAGAAGTAGGCTTCAGAAGGTGTGTAATAACGAAATTTGCTGAGCTAAAGGAGCATGTTATAATCCAATGCAAAGAAGCTAAGAATCATGGTAAAACCATTCAGGAGCCGAGAGCCAGAATAGCCAGTTTAGAGAGGAACATAGCCAACCTGATGAAGATGAAAAACACAACACGAGAACTTCACAATGCAATCAGAAGTATCAATAGCAGAATAGACCAAGCAGAGGAAAGAATCTCAGAGCTTGAAGACTGTCTTTCTGAAACAAGACAGGCAGACAAGAATAGAGAAAAAAGAATGGAAAGGAATGAATAAAACCTCCGAGAAATATGGGGCTATGTAAAGAGACCTAACCTCTGACTGACTAGGATATCTGGAAGAGATCCATTCTGGGGAGAATGGAACCAACTTGGAAAACATATTTCAGGATATCATCCAGGAGAACTTCCCCAACCTAGCAAGACAGGCCAACATTCAAATTCAAGAAATGTAGAGAACCTTAGTAAGATACTTAACAAGAAGATCAACCCCAAGATGCATAGCAAGGCAGGCCAACATTCAAATTCAGGAAATGCAGAGAACCCTAGTAAGATACTCTACAAGAAGATCAACCCTGAGACACATAATCATCAGATTCTCCAAGGTTGAAATAAAAGAAAAAGTATTAAGGGCAGTCACAGAGAAAGGACACGTCACTCACAAAGGGAAGCCCATCAGACTAACAATAGATCTCTCAGCAGAAACCCTACAAGCCATAAGAGATTGGGGGCCAATATTCAACATTCTTAAAGAAAAGAATATTTAACCCAGAAGTTCATATCTGGCCAACCAAGCTTCATAAGCAAAGAAGAAATAAGATCCTTTTCAGACAAGTAAATGCTGAGGGAATTGGTCATCACCAGGCCTGCCTTACAAAAGCTCCTGCAGGAAGCACTAAATATAGAAATGAAAACCTGTTACCAGCCACTACAAAAACACACTGAGGAACACAGACCAGTGACACTATGGAGAAACCACATAAACAAGTATGCAAAATAACCAGCTAACATCATGGTAACAGGATGAAAGTCACACATAACAGTACTAATCTTAAAAGGAAGTGGGCTAAATGCTCCAATTAAAAGACACAGAGTGGCAAGCTGTATGAAGAACTAAGGCCCATTGGTATGCTGTCCTCGAGAGATGCACCTCACGTGCAAAGACACACATAGGCTCAAAATAAAGGCAGGGAAGAAAATTTACCAAGCAAATGGAAAACAGAAAAATGCAGGGGTTGCAATCCTAGTTTCTGACAAAACAGACTTCAAACCAACAAAGATTAAAAAAAGACAAAGAAGGACATTACATAATGGTAAAGGGCTCAATTCAACATGAAGAGCTAACTATCTCAAATAGATATGCACCCAGATTCATAAAGCAAGTTCTTAGAAACCTACAAAGAGACTTAGACTCCCACACAATAGTGGGAGACTTTAACCATTGACAATATTAGACCATCGAGGTAGAAAATTAACAAAGATATTCAGGACCTGAACTCAGCTAAGGATCAGGTGGATGTGATAGATATCTATACGACTCTCCACCCAAAAACAACAGAATATACATTCTTCTCATTGCCACATGGTACATACTATAAAATTGATCACATAATTAATTGAAATTAAAACTCTCCTCAGCAAATGCAAAAGAACTGAAATCATAACAAACGGTCTCTTAGACCACAATGCAATCAAATTAGAACTCAAGATTAAGAAATTAACTCAAAACACCACAACTACATGGGAATTGAACAACTTGCTCCTGAATGACTCTTGGGTAAATAATGAAATTAAGGTGGAAATCAAGAAATTCTTTGAAACTAATGAGAATGAAGAGACAATGTAGCAGAATCTCTGGGATGCAGCTAAAGCAGTGTTAAGCAGGAAATTTATAGTACTAAATGCCCACATCAAAAAGCTGGAAAGATCTCAAGTTAACAACCTAACATGCCAACTAAAAGAATTAGAGAACCAAGAGCAAACAAACTGCAAAGCTAGCAGAAGACAAGAAATTACCGAGATCAGAGCTGAACTTTAAAAAGCCTTTAGAAAAAAATCAAAGAATCCAAGAACTGGTTTTTTTTTTTTATAACAAAATAGACCACTAGCTAGAATAATAAAGAAGAAAAGAGAGAAGAATCTAATAAACACAATCAGAAATGATAAGGGAGATATCACAACTCATGCCACAGAAAAACACAAACAACTATCACAGAATACTATAAACACGTCTATACACATAAACCAGGCCATCTAGAAGAAATGGATAAATTCCTGGACACATACACCCTCCCAAGACTGAAGCAGGAAGAAATTGAATCCCTGAATAGACCAATAATGAATTCTGAAATTGAGGCTGTAATAAGTAGCCTACCACCAAAAGAGGCCCAGGACCAGATGGATTCACAGCTGAATTCTACCAGAGGTACAAAGAAGAGCTGGTACCGTTTCTACTGCAACTATTCCAAAAAATTGAAAAGGAAAGACTCTTCCCTAACTTATTCTATAAAGCCAACATCATGCTGACACCAAAACTTGGCAGAGACAACAAAAAAAGAAAATTTTAGGCCAATATCCTTGATGAACATCCATGTAAAAATTCTCAATAAAATACTGGCAAACCAAATCCCACAGCACATCAAAAAGCTTATCCACCGTGATCAAGTTGGCTTCATCCCTGGGATGCAAGGTTTGTTCAACATATGCGAATCAATAGATGTGTTTCATTGCATAAACAGAATGAAAGACAAAAAACACATGATTATCTCAATAGATGCACAGAAGGCCTTCTGTAAAATTCAGCATCCTATTATGTTAAAAACTCTCAATAAACTAGGTATTGAAGGAACATATCTCAGGATAGAGAGCCATATATGACAAACCCATAGTGATGTAATAATGAATGGGCAAAAGTGGGAAGTATTCCCCTTGAAAACTGGCACAAGACAAGGATGCCCTCCCTCACCACTCCTATTCAACATAGTATTGAAAGTTCTAGCCAGGGCAATTGGGAAAGAGAAAGAGATAAATGGTACTCAAATAGGAAGAGAGGAAGTCAAATTGTTTTTGTTTGCAGATGACATGATCCTATATCTAGAAAACTCCATAATCTCAACCCAAAAGCTAGGAATACCTCTGCAGGATTTTTTTGTAAGTATTGGCAATTTGAGTCTATTTTTTTTTCTTTTTGCAAAAATGCAAAGGGTCTACTGTAGACCGTTTTATGAAAACGAGAAAAAAATGGAAGGTCTTACACTTTGTGATTTCAAACATTATGAAGATATTGTCATCAAAATACTGTGGCATTGGCATAAAGCCAGATACAGAGATCAATGAAATGGAAATCAATGGAATGAAGATCAGTGGAATGGAATCCATTAATCAATGGATTGGAATGGATCAATGGAATGGAAGGAATCAGTGGAGATCAGTGGAATGGAATAAGAATCCAGATAGACCCCGAAATATATAATCAATTGATTTTCACCAATAGGCTAAGGTAATTAAATAAGAAAAGGAAAATCTCTTTAACAAATGGTACTAGAGTAATTAAATAGCCAAAAGCCAAAAAAGTAAAAAAAAAAAAAAAAAAAAAAAAAAAAAACCCTGCAACTGTGTCTCCAAAGATATACAAAAATTATCCCCAAAGTAATCATAAACATTAATAAAACTTCACTAAAATTTTTTAGTGACTTTGTGTTTGACAGTGATTTCTTAAATAGGACACCAAAAATGAACTATAAAAAGAAAAAGTGATACATTGGACTTTACCAAAATTTTAACCTTCTCTTTAAAAGACACTTATAAAAATGAAAAGCAAGCCACAGAATAGGAGAAAATAATTTCAAGACATATACTTAACAAAGGAACCTACAGCTAGATTTTTTCAAAAAACTCAATAAACATCTCAATTATAAAAATGCAAAAAAAAATTGTATAGATATTTTATTAAGACTTGTGGATGGGAAAGAAGCACATAAAAATGTAGGTGTCATTAGGAATATCAGAACTGCAATGAGAATATCAATATATAAAGATCAGTTGTATTTCTGTATAATAGCAATGAATCCTAGTATATGGCACTCACAGTACCCAAAATGAAATTAAGAACTTAATTCCACTTATAATAGCATTGAAAAGAATGAAGTAGATGGGAATAAATTTAACAAAAGGAGATCAAGACTTGTGCACTGAGAGCTACACAACATCATTGAAAGAAATTAAAGACTACTTAAGTAAATGGAAAACCATCCTTTGTTTAGGGGGAAAGGGAGAATGACTGCATGGATCCAGAGTATTTTGGGGGATTGATAAAAATATTCTGGAATTAGTGGTTATGCTTGTACAACCTTGTGAATATATTAAAACCCACTAAATCATACACTCTAGAGAGGTGACTTTGATGGTATATTAATTATATATCAGTAAAAACATTTTTTAAATCACAATGAGATAGCCCTGCACACTAGCTTGATTGGTTTATAGCTTAAATTAAAAAGCCAAATGGTACCAAGTGTTGATATGGATCAGGAACAACTTGAATTTTCAGATATTGCTGATAGTTTAGCTTTTTCTTATAAGGTTAAACATATACTTAACATATTTGCCCACTATATCACTCGTGAATATTGACCCAAGAGAAACGAAAGCATATGCCATACAAATACTTATTTGTGAATGTTCAAAGCAACTTAATTTTTAAGAGTCAAAAACTAGAAACAGCTCAACATTCAAGAGGTGAAATGATAAATTTTTGTTATATCCATAAAATTGGAGTGCTACTCAGAAATTCAAACAATGACTATTTGATTTATGCAACTACATGGATACACCCAGTGTTCTGCTGGCAAATGTTTAAAAACTGGCTCTCCAAAAAAAAAAAAAAAGAGGAGGCAACTTTGATCTATATAGCATTTTCTCATTTCCATGGTACAAATGCTCCTGCCATGACTGATTTCAAGTTACCAATATAAGGTCAATGAATGTGGAGTTAAGAAGAGATGCCTAGTAGCAAACTATTTTATAGTATTTCTTCTATCCATGTCTTCTATCCGGTATTTCTTCTGTCTTATATCCAATAGACATAATCTTGAACACAGATTTCTTGTTTTGTTTTGTAGAGACAGGGTCTCACTCTGTCACCTAGGCAGGAGTACAGTGGTACATTCCTAGCTCACTGCAACCTCCAACTCCTGAGCTCAATAGATCCTCCCACCTCAGCCTCCTGAGTAGCTAGGAGTATAGGCACATGCCCTCACACAAGGCTAATTTTTTTATTTTCTGTAGAGATGATAGGTACTCACCATGTTGGCCAGGCTGTTTTTGAACCCCTGTGGTCAAGCGATCCTCTTGCCTCAGCCTCTCAAAGTGCTGGGATTACAGGTGGCGCCACCTGGCCCAGCTTAAATAAACATCATTCTTTATTCAGGTTGCTATTACAAATTTTGATAGACTGGGTGGCTTAAACATTTATTTCTTACAGTTCTGAAGGCTGAGAAATCTAAGATCGGGTGCCAGCATGGTTGGGTTCTGATGACGGCCGCCTTCCACATTGCAGGCAGCCAACTTTTCCTTGTATCCTCATATGGTGGAAAGAGTGCAGGCTAGCTCTCTAACCTCTTATTATAAGAGCATTAATCCCATTTATGAGGGTGAAGCCTCATAACCTTCACCCTCATAACCTATTTCCTTCCAGAGGTCCCACCTCCAAATACCATTAGTGATTAGCTTTCAACAAGACGTCTGAGGGGACACAACATAATAAAAATTGTAAAATAATATGAAAAGATGAGGTTTGAATATTTGTTAACTGTTTTAAAATAACATTTAATTTATAACTTTTAAAATAATGGCTATTTAACAACGAATTTAAATAATTTATAAAATTTTAAGACTTGGCTCTCACTAGCCTTTGTGAGCTGGTTCAATCACATTACTGGATAAATCTCAAAATAATTATACATAACAAAAAAAAGAAGGTTAAAAGTTTAATATTTAAAAGTTTAATGTTTATAAATACTATATATATAAATTTCATTATATACATAATTCTAGAAAATTCAAATTAGTATGTTGTTGGGAACAGGCCCCCAAATCTGGCCATAAACTGGCCATAAACAAAATCTCTGCCAGCACTGTGACATGTACGTGATGGCCATGATGCCCACGCTGAAGGTTGTGGGTTTACCAGAATGAGGGCAATGAACACCTGGCCCACCCAGGACAGAAAATGGCTTAAGGCGTTCCTAAACCACAAACAATAGTATGAGCAATCTGTGCCTTAAAGACATGTTCCTGCTGCAGATAACTAGTCAAAGCCTATCCCTTTGTTTTGGCCCATCCCTTTGTTTCCCATAAGGAATACTTTTAGTTAATCTATAATCTATAGAAACAATGCTTATCACTGGCTTGCTGTCAGTAAATATGTGGGTAAAACTCTGTTCGAGGCTCTCAGCTCTGAAGGCTGTCAGCCCCCTGATTTCCTACTCCACACTTTATATTTCTGTGTGTGTGTCTTTAATTCCTCTAGCCTTGCTGGATTAGGATCTCCACAACCAAGCTGGTCTTAGCAGTGTGTATTAACATACTAGCAATTGTCTGTTAATTAGTTGGTGGGGGTAGGACTGATGGATTACAAATGTAAACAAACTTTTGAGAGTGAAAATATTGTCAATAATTTTTAGTTATATTTTTATTTTACCCTATACAAGTTTAAATACTATTTAGACCCTAAAATTCCATTTAATTTACTGAACATCTATGTTAGCTTGGAAGACTATATGTAAGATTTTTCAACATCCATGCACATAAACACACAAAATCTATGGCTAAACTGATGATTGTTATCTAGTTTGTGCTTCAGTTAATAGCTGGCTAATTTAGTATCAAAAATATAACAAACTAATGGGCTTGAACCCAGGTTTGTTTCACCTCAAGCATTTGATTGATTGGTCGCGTTAATGCGCAGAAATTAGTGCGACTGCCTCAGTAATTGTTTTATGTTCTAATTTATATTAATAGCCACCATACCAAGTGAAACGAACAATTACTATTGAAATATTTTTGTGCCATTTTGCATTAGTAGTTATGTTTAAATAAATTCTATATAAAAATTCATAAATGTGTTGTTTCTTGTTACGGCTCATTTAACATGGTTAGTGTGCTAAATTGTGGAAATCAAAACTCAATACTACTAGCTTTACAATGTTTATAGATCAAATGTTAACGTAAACCCACAGAGCCCATTTAACTCTACTCTTGATGTATGTTTGGTTAAAATTTTTGAGAAAATATTAATAGAAATTATAACCCCAACATGCCTACATACATACATACTTTTAACTATGGCAACATGATATTGGCCTAAATGAATGTATCACAGAAAACAATGTACAAATAATCCACAATTTTTTAAACTCTCAAGGAATGTAATAGCATGAAGACATGTCAGTAAATATTATTTCAATAAATTTCACGGAAGTAAATATACATTCAATGTAGTTTTACTAGATGAAAGAAATGTTACAGATTATCATTTTACTTGCTGAACATACTTAATGATAAACTTACCTTCGTCTTTCCCAGAGCTAAGCTTCACTATAAGTATTCCTAATGTATACCATGCTGTAGATAGTATAATCTGTTCATATTTTAAAAGACAAATACTGTCTTAGACAAATTGTCACAACAAAATACTGTAGACTAGGTAGCTTAAATAACAGACATTTCTCACAGTTCTGAAAGCTGGGAAGTCCAAGATCAAAGGGCTGGCAGATCTGGTGGTATCTGATAAAAGTTTACAGATAGCCATCTTTTCCTTGTATCTTCACACTGTGGAGGGAAGAAAGAGAAAGCAAGCCCTCTCATATCTTTTTACAAGGGCACTAATCCCACCACGAGGGGCTGCTCCATTCTCATGAGCTTATTACTTCTTAAAGGCCTTGCCTCCTAATATTATCACATTGGGGCTTAAGATTTCAACATATGCATCTTGTGGGGACACACACATTCAGTCCACAGCAAATATTAACTAAATCGCTTTTTAAAAACTGTACACATTTTGAGTAGAATTTATCATTCTCCACTGTACTAGAGTTCTTCCAAGAAACAGAACCAGATTATAATATGAATATATATAAAAATAAAAAGCATACGGAAATATATATATAAGTATATATATATAATTCAGTCTCAAATACTAATCTTTTCTGTAAACACCCTCACAGACACACCCAGAAATAACCTTTAATCTGAGGACCCTGTTAGAGTAAAACAGCTTGCTACCTGAATGGAACTCTGGGACAACAGGCATCATTAGTCAAATGGATATATGGTCTCTCTATAACATGAGCTTTTTTTTTTTTTTTCAGAATATCTGAAAGAGAGGAGTAAGGAGGAGTGTGGATAAGAAAAAGCTTGCAGTTGGATGATGTAATAAGTAACACTGAGCAAATATTTATTGCCCACCTACCATGGTCTATATCATGCGAGGCTCTGGAGATAGGAAAAATGAATAGTACATAGTCTATATTCAATGAGCTCAATATAAATAACAAAAACTATCTAACATACAGTGATGGCTAGCAAAACTTCACAGAAGGAAATTAGTAGTCTTTCTTAACCTTTTCCCAATGAAGTTTTTATTTTACTGTGACAAAATATACATGACACAAAATTTACTGTGTTAACCATTTTTAAGTATACAGTTCAGTAGTGCAAAGTACATTGACATTGCTGTACAGCTAATTTCCAGAACTCTTCATCTTGAAAAACTGAAACTCTGTCCTATTAAACAACAGCTCCCATTCACCCCTTCCCCAGCCCTTGGCAACCACCATCTACTTTCTGTCTCTGTGAATCCTGGTATTTTGGGTACCTCATTTAAGTGGAATCATAACAGTATTTGTCTTTGTGTCCCTGGCTTATCTCACTGTGTATAACGTCCTCAAGGAACATCCATGCTGTAGCATATATCAATTTTTTTTTCTTTTTTAAGGTGAATAATATTCCATTGTATGTATATGCCACATTTTGTTTATCCATTCATCCATTGATGGATGTGGGTTGTTTCCACCTTCCTAACTTTTTATAACAGTGTAATCTCTTAAGATAACAAGCATTCTATTTTTTTAATTGAAAAAATCTGGCTGGGCGCAGTGGCTCACGCCTGTAATCCTAGCACTTTGGGAGGCCAAGGCGGGCAGATCACTTGAGCCTAGGAGTTCAAGACCAGCCTGGGCAACATGGCAAAACCCCATCTCTACAAAAAATACAAAATTTAGCCAGGTATGGTGGTGGGTGCCTGTAGTTCCAGCTACTCGGGAGACTGAGGTAGGAGGATCACCTGAGCCTGGGAAGTCTAAGCTGCAGTGAGCCATGATCATGCCACTGTACTCCAGCCTGGGTGACAGAGTGAGACCCTGTCTCAAAAAAAAAACAAAAACAAAAAACCTGAGGTTAGTTTTTCATAGAAAGCAAGTAATAGAAGATCCTCTTTGAGAAGGGAAAACATAAAATAGATTCAAAAAATGATTTATGTTTTAAAAGAATCATTCAATTAAATCTTTTAGATCTGAAAGTCCTTAGTTTGCTCATGTACCATTTTATAATCCTTTTTCTGTACTGATAAAAAAAAAAATTGAATGCTACAGAAATACTGTGATGTACCCATGGAGCTGAACAAAGGTCTTGTTAAGATTAAACTACAATCTGCTCTAACTTTTATCACAAATTACTCATTGTCTGTGTTGTACTTCCTCTTAAGCATAGATAGTAAGGGCTCTCTTATTGTTAAATTGTTTCGCTCTGAAACTTGTCTTTATCCTTCTGAAATATAAATTTCTAATTATGTATGTTTGTGAAATAGGTTTTAGTTATTTCAATTAATTGCGTAGAGTTGTAAATTATGGCAAGTGTAGGAGTTAGTGATAATCTTAAATTGTATCTATTGTTAATCATTGCATATGAAGTTGAAATTACAGTGACCTCTCTGCATTTCTTCTCCTTTTCTTAAAATTGTAAACTGAGTCTTTTTTCACACATCATAAAAACCTTGTGCAACTGCTAGTGTTTGAAATAAATTGCAGTTACAGTGCTGTCTCCCTGTTTCAGGCACTGTGATAAGCTAGAATCAAATGAAAGTTCTTCTGACATTTTCAGAACCTAAAATCCAATGTTGGTTTAACTTCAATAGTCTGCAGATAATGGATTACTGGTATTGCACTCCTATTTGAGAAACAAGCTATTATTTTTACCAGTGGGATAGTGATATTTGTTAGTAGTACAAGTAATTCCATCATTAAATAGAGAAGGGAGGAAAATTCCTACAAGTGGCCATTTTTTAAGGTTCATACAATAAACATATTAAGATTCTAGAGTGGAAATTAAAACATCCACAATTGTACTAGAGTGTTTTTTTGTGCAAGTCACTTAACCTTTCTCTACATCAGTTTCCAGATATTTGAAATGGTAATAATTATACCCACTTCCGAGGGTTGTCGTAAGATATAAAAGTCTTAATGTAGATAAAATGCGTATAACAGTGCCTGTACATATAAGTGCTATACAAGTGTTTGCTATCGTTATCCTTCTTTTTCTCATTTTCACATGGTTCTTCATTGACTCACGTTTAGAATATTACCGTACATTTTTAACTCACCTCCCTGATTGCAGTTTCGTCTTCCTAATGTTGTTCTTCCCATTTCTACTAGGGTAATCCTTAAAAAAAATCCAAATTGTTGTGTCACTTCCTCGCTTAAAGGTTGATTTAGTTTTACCATTGTTTTCCAGATAAAATTTAAATTCCTTAGTATAAACCACCACAAATTTTATGATGTCATCCTTAAGTCATCAGCCCATTTCTGTCATGTCTTATTAATGCTTCTTCCTTTCCCTGCTGTCTTTACCTGACTATTATAGATACTCAGGAAAAGACTATTCATTTACCTTCTGAGACTCATTTCAAGCATGATCTCCACCAGAAAGCCTTTCCTAACTCTTGCCATTCTACGCAGTTTGAATTTGATATACTCTACCTTCGTGTTCACAATCACAGTGCTTATCGCTATTAGGGAGCTCAATTTATTGTCCATAGCCATCTCTTTTATTGTTGATTTCCCTTTCTATCATAAGCTTTTGTAGACAAGAATTGTGTTATGACTTCCTATCTTCAGCAGTTAACAAATGATTGGCAAATAGCAGCTATTTACTCATACTTGCTGCATAATCACTTAATTGAGATTTGAGAGAGAGTGAGTTAACAAATGAACACCCTGGTTACAGCCGGTTCTGCTTTTGTGACATCTTTCATGAAATGCATGGGATGGTGAAAAGAGGTTACATTTAGGGTTAGACCTGGATTCAACTTCTCTATCATTTAGTTTAAAAAAAAAAAAAAAAAACTAAAAAACTTTAAGATTAAACTTACTGTAAGCCTTAATGTCTCCATGATTATAAATTTAATTCCCAATACCTAATTATCTTACATTGAATCTCAAATGGTTTAATATGTATAAATCATTATAGAAATATTAGATCTATTAAAGACAGTATTGGTGCTGATATGGACTCTAGAGCCAAGTTACCTGGGGGTTTACATCCTGGATCTGCCATTTGCCAGCTCTGTGATTTTTGAACATGCTATTCTCTTTGTGTCTACATTTTCTCTTCTGTAAAATGGAAATTATAATATTAAGTTGGTGCAAAAGTAATTGCAGTTTTGGACCATGAATTTTAAGTTATTATATTAATAACTAGGCTCAAAGACATCTTTATTAATCAAAATAGGAACCATTACAATCAACACATTTTGCCAATAAGAAATACGTTGGTTTATTCCTGTAACATAATCTGTCCTTTGGGATTCGACAAACTCTTGAAAAGCATTTTCTGCATCCTGTTGATTGTGGAAGTGTTTTCCCTGCAAAATGTTGTTGAGATGCTTAAAGAAATGGTAGTCAGCTGGGGAGAGGTCAGGTGAATATGGTGAATGAGGCAAAACTTCGTAGCCCAATTCATTCAACTTTTGAAGTATTGGTTGTTCAACTTGTGGTGGGGCACTGTCGTAGAGAAGAATTGGGCCCTTTCTGTTGACGAATGCTGGCTGCAGGTATTGCAGTTTTTGATGCATCTCAGCTATTTGCTGAGCATACTTCTCAGATGTAATAGTTAAGCCAGGGTTCAGAACGCTGTAGTGGATCAGACCAGCCGCCGAGCACCAAACAGCAACCATGACCTTTTTTTGGTGGAAGTTGGCTTTGGGAGGTGTTTTGAAGCTTCTTCTTGATCCAGCCACTGAGCTCATCATCGCTGGTTGTCATATAAAATCCACTTTTGATTGTATATCACAATCCGACTGACAAATAGTTCATCGTTGTTACGTAGAATAAGAGAAGACAACACTTCAAAACAACGATTTTTGGTTAGCTCATGAGGCATCCTCTTATCAAGCTTTTATCACCTCTCCAATTTGATTCAAATGCTGAATGACTATAGAATGGCCGATGTTGAGTTCTTCTGCAGCTTCTCCTGTAGTTGTAAGAGGATCAGCTTGGATGATTGCTCTCAGCTGGTTGTTGTCAACTTCCGATAACTGGCCACTATGTCCTCATCTTCAAGGATCTCCTTTGCAAAACTTCTTGAACCACCACTGCACTGTATGTTCGTTAGTAGTTCCTAGGCCAAATGTGTTGTTGATGTTGCCAGTTGTCTCCACTGATTTACGACCCATTGTGAACTCAAATAAGAAAATCACTCGAATTTGCTTTTTGCCTAACATCATTTCCATGGTCTAAAATAACCATAAACAGCAAGCAATAAGTCATCAGCAAAAAAAAAATTGAGAAATGCTCATTAAAATGATGTATAACATAACTACATTTATTTAAGAATGTATTTCAATATCAAACAGCAAATTCTAACAATGTAAAAACTGCAGTTACTTTTGCACTTACCTAATAGTACACTTCTGAGGATTATTTTGAGGACTATATGAGGTGGTGTGTATCAAGCACTCACCATAGTTACTAACACATAGTAAGCACCCAATAAATATTAGCTTAAAAAAATTTCCTGCGACTCTTTTTACCTTTGTGCAAATCTAAGACAACTTTCAAGGCATAGCTTAATAGCTACCTCTTTTTTAAAGACTTCCTTGATTGAATTGTTTTTTCCCTCTAAACTCCAATAACATGATATATAATTTATTCATAAAGCACCACAAGGAACTTCAGCTTTGTATCTCCTTTATTGGTTTTTAAATTTCTTTAAATACTATATTTATTTTATTCATCTCATGTATCACTATCATTATCATTTCTATTATGTCACCTATTATGTTTTAATTCTCTACATATTTAACACTATGAAATATTTTTTATATAGGTAAATATTATCTATCTCGCTATAAAATGTAAGCTCCATAATAGCAAGGACCTTATGTTAATAGTATCTGCACATTGTAGATAGTAAATAATTGCTGAATGGATGAATAATGACTTAAACATCTATTGAATTAATGTATTACACTTGGCAATAATATTGGTAACTCTCTTAACCATCTATAGATGAATAATAAATTGCCCTAAGTCTTAGTGGCATAAAACAATAGAAATTTCTTATATCACAGTTTTTGTGGGTCTAGAATCCAAGTGTGGTTTAGCTGAGTATTCTGGCTCAGGGTTTCTCACAAGGCTCAGCTTCCAAGGTTACTCATGGGCTAGCTGTTAGTCAACTGTGAGTGAGAGGAGTGTCAAATAATTTAAGAGTCATGTTTAAAAACTGCCACAGTCTGCCCTCTAGGCAGAAATTATTTACATTTCCTCACATGCAAAATACAACCGTCTCCTCCCAGACTCCTCCACATGTTTCATTTCATTACAGGATCAGGCTAAGGCTAAAGGGATAAAATTGTCATTTAAATCAGGGGAAAGTATGGATGAGGCTTTTTGGGTTTGATTCCTCAAAAATAACCGCATAAATATTGTTCCCATCTAAAGACCAGTGAACTACAGTGACAAGTTGCCCGTTCCCTTTAAAACCAATATAAAATGGTAGGACAGGCATAGGGTAACTGCAAAGACATTCCTATTCAAAAAGGGAAGATGGAAAGGCTAACGTCCTTAGCAATTCTGAAATCCAAGGAAGTTCATGTTTCCCGTTCCTTTATTAGAATTTTGTATTGTTTCCTAGGAATGATTAATTGCTCTTGGCTTTACCTTCTGAGCGCTGGATTCTAACCTCTGAATTATCCATACATTTCAATAAGATGTAGCTCATGTTTGCAGCTGAGTGGTTTTTTCGGTCTGTTTCCTGCCCATAGAAGCCCTGGAGCCAAGTTCTCTTTGAATTGCATCCTCTCCTAACCCTGTAATCCTAAACTGATAGTTTACACCAGAACAGTTTTTCTGAAACTGGGAGTTTGCTATGAATCTCATTGAGATTCACTCCATTAGACAAAAACCACAAACAAATCTTTTCAAGATAAGCCTTTCTTTCTATCTTAGGCTTCTTTTGCATCAGCTGTGGGACAACACCCTTAAGATTTATTGAAGCCCTATTGTTTAACAGAGGGTTGTCTGAGATTTTTCCTTCCTTTTTTTTTTTTTTTAAGTCCTCAAAGCTCCATAGGCTTCCTCTAGTATTCTTCTAGAAGTCCTTTTAAGTTTTCACTTACATTCTCCTAAAGATCCCTCCAGCTTCAGCCCATCACCTAGTCTCAAGTCCAATGCCATATGATTGAGGATTTTGTTAAGGCAGCACCCTGCCTCTGGTGTATCAAAATCATTATCGGTTGTCTTGCTGCAGAACAAATCTCACCAAAACTTACTGGCTTAAAATAATGTTTTTTAAAAATCATTTATTTTTAGCTTAAAAGTGTGAAATTTACTAGGGCTTGGTAGAGAAAGCTTGTCTCCTTCACACAGCTCACTCATGGTTAGCAAGTTGGTGCCGGCTGAGAGCTGGGGGTCTCTGTTCATCTCCACATGGGCCTCTCCAAAGACAGTTTGGGCTCCACAGCATGGTAACTGGCTTCTAAGATTAAAAGTCTCGAAAGGCAGGAAATATAAGCAACCAATTTTTTATAGCCTAGACTTGGAAACTGGCATAGTATCACTTTCTCTGTATTGGAAGACAGGAGCACAGACCTCAAGTCTCAAGAGGCAAAGTGTCAAAGGATTTGCAGTTGTGTTTCAAAATCACTACACCTGTTTTAGATCAAAGCACAGTTCTGGCACTTATCTATCACATTCCTAAGAAGGCTTACTTTATTCCTGTAAAGTAAAGGGATTCGATGTTTTCTAAGGTCCTTTCTACTCTAAATTTGGTCATCTTACAATTCCCATTTTCTATACATTGTTGATATATTCTAGCCCATAGCAGCTTCTTAACTATGTAATCAGACAGTGTTTGGGGTATAAAATTGACGTTCTCTCCTTATTACCACACTTCAGAAAAATAATATGTTGAGAAGTTTGTGTGATATTTAGAAAATCCAGAAAACCTTCACCAAAAAGGTATATTATAATGAACATGACCTTACAAGAATACTTGTGAAGAGTCTGCATTAATGGTTAATGCCTTTATTGGAAGGTCAAATATTAGATAACTTTTGTAAGGCAGCTGTTCTTAGAGGGGTTTTATTTATTTTTAATTTCATGTACTCCTTTTTATTTTTTTCTGTTTGTTTCATATGTCTCCATGTGGTTGGGGAATAAAGTTTCCATTATACTGCTCTATTTATAGTTTTAAAAAATTCTGTAGGGACCAAAGCTGGTTGTTTTTTAATCTTTACCACTTATAAAATGAATTTGTCAAATTTAATTTGAGTTTCATTTGCAGTAAATATTGTTTAAGAAAACATGGTTGACTATTTTTTATATGCCAGTTTAAGTTCATCTTGTTATTCTTTCAGGAACTTGTACTTTCCTTCCTTTTAGAGAAACATTAATTCATGCTGTCTCTACTGTTCAATTTAATGAGATCAAACTTAATGAATTTCATATGTATATGTGAATTATGCCAAAATTTTTCTCCATCACACTAGTGTTAGTAGTCTTCTATATGTAGTATCATATACACAAACTTAATTTTGACCCTTTTTAAATTGCAGTGTCCTCTCGCATGGCAGAGCAAGTGGGAAGGCCCAGAAGATCCCTTACAATACCTGAGAGGTCTTGTTGCCCGTGCCCTTGCAATACAGGTATGCCTAAATTATTTACTAAGTGGGTTGTCTGACTGTGTGACTATTGTATTATAGAGATAACCATTGTGCTAATCACTAGTGAGAATTACACTATGATTTTGCACATAAAACATCATATATTCATTATTCTGCCATTTGTTATTTTTGTATAGCACTGTTCTATTTTTTTTTTTTTTTTACAAAATGTGCTTTCTGCTTTACTGTGGCTTTTCATCATTTTCGAGAATTTAGAGAAAAATTTACAATTTTAGTACAGTTGGATCACATAGACGGTAACTGACACTGAATCATCACTGTGACTAGTTTGCCTTAGGGAGCTCCCTATGGGGAGCTGCTTTAAAAAAGTTTTCTTCAAATTGATCAAGTTTTTTCAGAATAAACCAGTCAGGTAACTTCAGGAAAACAGAAGAATAATATAGACAGAGAAAGAGTGTATTTTTAAGGAATAGTAAACATGATACAGGTTAGTTGATGCAAACAAGGTACCTTTGTGGATTTTCCACTGTCTTCCTCTGCTTGTTGCACCAGCTTCACAAAAGAGCCTTTTGTTTTAACCACATTAACGTCTACTATCACATGAATAACTTGATCTTCTCAATGCAGCACTCTTCATCCATGTTTTTTAAAATAATGATCCACAAGTCTGTTCACATTTGTCATCACTCATCCCTGCTCCACCTTTGAACCCCTAAGCATACATGTTATTCTTTGACAACAGCCACATTTCATTCTCAATTTTGTATTCTCTAGACTTTCCAGTCTCTTCCTGTTCAGTTCTCTATCACTTTCTTTCCTGATTCTGGCCGATTCAGCCTTCTATTTGTGGCACATAACTATATTCTCTTTCTAGCACCTTCAGTATCCTAACTCACTTTTCTTTATGCTTCATCCTTTCCAAAAACCATTTAACTTGGATTAGTATCTGTCCATATGCAGGCTGCTGAGCGCTGCTACCGAAACTTCAGATACAGTGTACAGTGTACACTTCAGATACGGTTCAGATACAGTGGATGGGCCCTGAGCACTGCTCCTGTATTCCATAGTGATGTTCTTCACTCTTTCTTGAAGACTCCATTCTGTCACTGACTCCCCTTTTCCTTAGCAGAGCACCTTACGTTTTACTTCATAGAGAAAATTCAAGCTGTGAGATATGACCACTTGAAAATTCCTGTCCTTCTCTCTCATCTACAAATTTGTTTGAAGCCATCTTCGTCATCTTTGTTCTAATATAAAAGTTGACCTTATGAAATTGAAAGCTCATCCCTAGACCTGTGTACTGATTCTGTCTGTTCTCCTCTCTTTAGAGACCTCCTCCAGGGGGTCTTCCCTTGTTCTTCTGTCTTTTCATCTTTTCATCTCTTCTTACTCTGTTTGCCAGCCTACAATTGGGACTCCTTTGAAGGCACCAGGACTGATCTGAGCAATTGTTTGGCTTCTATTATAACCAGTTCTCTGGATTGTAGGATTGTTAAAGGAAAAAAAAGTACTAGATCTGGAAATGAGGTTAAAATTAGCAAGTAGAGAAGAATCTGGCAGGGACTCTGATTTAGTCATCTTTCTGTCTATCTGCTGTGTATATACCTGGACATAATTTATCACTAAATGCTGGAAGGAAGAAAGGGAGAAAGTCTATTAGTGATCTTAGAACAGTATAGAAATGCTCTGAAGTTTGTTGTATAATTGCATGGCTGTGATAATTTACCACTTCATGTACTTTTCAGTACTGTTTCCTTTAAATTATTTTTAAAAGGACAGGGACTTTAAACTTGCCATGAATGGTAGCCTATATTACACTATGTAAGTACACTTAATAACTATGCTGTGAGTTTATAATGATAAATATATCAGTGGTACTATAATTAATACTCTTTAAAACAATTTTACATGAATTATTGCAATTTTCTTGCATGGTTATTCATATATTAATAACTGGTCATAAAAACTGATGAAAAACTGGTCGTCAAAACTGAACACTTTTCTACTGTGTAATTTTCTTAAAAGCTTTATAAGGCATTTAACCTTAATTGTAGTGATAAAATACCCTCCTAACCCTCAAGATAATGTTCAGGACTGACCATAGCTTACCTTTCATCCTTCCAACCAGGGAATATGCACTATTTCTTCCACAACCACTTGGGGATACTTTTTACATTGTTTTATTTTCCTGGCTTAATATTTTTTTAAATTATAAATATATATAGATATCCATCTCCCTGAGGTAACCTTTAATATTTGGGATTTGCTTTTCATCTATTCAAGGGCCCGATAGATCCCTTGTTTTCATCTGTGCCTTCTCTGTTTCACAAGTACATATCCAGAGCAGCTTGTGATACTTGGAGAGCAATGTAACTACCTATTTGGAAAACAAAGGATGGGAAACTGGGTGGGCAGGGAAAATTAGAAGCACTATTTGCAAGGATCTGTGAAAATGGCACCTTTTGGTTTCTTAAGAAAGCATAATGATCAGACTCAATCCAAACAGGTATACAGCAGGTTGAGCCCAGATCCAGCTATAGTTTAAGATTTTAGGGTCTTGCATTTTGAGGCATAGTTTATGGGAAAAGAGAACAAACTATTGAGGGTGTCATATATCATGCCAGTTTATTACAGGGGTTCTGTGCAAATAAGGTAAGACTGACTTGGGTCAAAGGTAGCATTCATTTATTCAGTCATTCATTCAGTCAAAAATATAATAAGCAGCTACTTTATTCTAGACCCTGTGTGAAGTACTGGAGATATCAGGATTAGTAAGTAGATACAATAACTGCCTCACAGATCTTATCTTCATTCATTTATCATTTTATCAATAAAAGTTCTATAAATGTAAGCTGGGCACAGTGGCATGTGTCTATAGTTCCAGTGACTCAGGAGACTAAGGCAAGAGGATCGCTTGAGCCCAAGAGTTCAAGTCCAGCCTGGGCAACAATGAGACCTCGCCTCTTAAAAAAAAGATAATTCCGCAAATGTGATTAATACTTTCCTGGTGCCAAACACTGTGTGAGGTTGCTGAATATAGAGTGGTAAACAAAATAGACATACATCTTGTTCTCCAGGAACTATCCTTACAACTTATCAGAAAGATAGAACTGAATAAACAACAGTAAGAGAAGAGTGATAAAGGAAGTACAGTATTATGGAAGCAAATAGCACTATTTAACCTAGAAGGGGTCAGAGAAGTGCTGCCTAAGCTGGGAACTTAGTAGGAATAAACCAGATGAGGATGAGACGAAAGAATGTATCAGACAGAAGGCAGACCAGAGTCTGATATCAAGAGTAAGTATTGTGTTATACCAAAGTTATTGAAATTTTGTAAAAAAAATTAATAAAAAGTAAGCATTGTGGTTTTCAAGTAACTAAAAGCAAAGCATAGATTGCAAGGAGGGGTGTTCAGGCTGGAGGGCAAGAGGGGCCAAATCATGATAATGTATTAAGGAATTATATTTTATCCTAAGGACAAAAGGTAACCATTGCAGCATTTTAAGAAGGAAAGTCAGATTATGTTTTAAAGGGACTGTTTTAGCTGCAGTATGGAGAGAGTCTTAGTCTACTTTGTGGCAAAAGGTTTAAGACTCCTCTGAATACTCTTAATTTAGAGCTATAGATCCCCTAGGTATCCAAGGAACCTGAGCCACAGAGAGTCTTGCAGGCAGCCTTGCATTCACTCTCTGGTTTCTGTAAGATCCTTTAGAGCAAAGATCTTAAAAAAAAAATTCCACTATATTTCCAATACCTATATACTGTCTGCTGAATGAATGAATGAACAAAGGAATTAACAAATGAATGGACTGGACAGATTACTCTCTTTGGGGAACTTAGAATTATTTCCCTGGCTTCAAATTTTTCTGTCTTTTCTTCAGAAATAACATCTTCAAAGAGTTTCTTGTGTTCCTGATTTCCACTCTGTGTTTTCCCTTTGGCTTGTAGCGTATCCCTTACAGCAGTATATTCTGATTCTTCTGTGATGATCATTCTAAATTCTAGCGTGTTCTCTACCCTGTTTGTAAATCTTACATTGTCAGCTTTGGTTTGGTTCCTTTATCCTAGTTTTCTCAACTACTCATAGTTGGATCCCTTGACCGTACACCTGTAATTTTTATTCCAGCCTTGCTCATGTGTTGATTTCTATATCCAAGCCAGGATATAGAGAGAGATCTTTATCACCATCAGCTAGTTATACTTGGTTATGCTAAATAGACCCAATATTCTAAGAAATGTTTAATGGACTCCTAAATATCTCCCCCATTATGCTTCCATTGGAAAGCAAACTTGGAGTGCTGTGTGTTAAATTAGCATTAAGGTTTGCCATTAATACTTACAGTTCATTTTAAACTTCTGCTTCAGTTTCATGTCTTTAGTTTTAAGATCCACAGTGACGACTTGAACTCCACTCAGTTTTTTTGCTGAACTCAAGCCAGTGGCTGGTACGTTGCTCTACTACCAAATCCTGCCACCCTTCATTCTTATGACAGAATTTTGTTGTTTATATCAACTATTAAGCACCTTGAAGTTTGGGGAGATCTAAGCAATAAATAGCATTAATTATTGTTATTAGTAAATACCACTTAGCATGACATATAGACTATCATTAAAGCTTATCAGGAAAATAGACAACTAAATAAGCAATAACAACAAATCATTAAAGGAAGTATTTGAGCAAATAGCAGAAGTACTACAATCTAGAACCACTTAGTGTTATCCCCTGTTCCCCAGCGGGTAGTTCAGTCTAAAATTTTTGGAATCATTGTTTACTTCTCTCCTCTCACACTTTATATCCAGTCTACCAGAAAGTCATATTTTCTCTGCATTCAAAATACATTGAGGTACCTTTTACTATCCGTACTACCACTACCTCGATTGAAGTCATTGTGAATGCAGCCACTATCTAACTAGAGTCCTGCTTCCACCCTTGTTCCCATTCTTATTGGTTCTCAACCACACAATCTCAAATGTTCTGGTGTTAAAGCACAGCTCAGATTACATCACTCTTCTCTTGGAAATATCCCCATGACTAGTCATCTTGAGTATCAAAATCCTTACACATCCTACAAGTTTCTTTAAGGTGAAGCCCCATTATCTCTCTGCTTTTCGTTCCCAGTTTTCTACCTCATTTACTCTGTTCTAGCCATACTGGTCTTGCTTTTCAGTGAACAAACCCAGCTCGCTCCCTCTCATGGCCTTTACCCTTGCTGCTTCCTCTCCTTGGAATGCTCTCCCCGGGATATGTGCAAGGAAGCTTCCTTACCTCCTTCAGGTCTTTGCTCAAATGTCACTTTTTCAGTGAGGCCTTCCCTGACCATCCTGTTTCGAATGTAACCCCCGCACTCCCCCCTCCAATACTTCTTACTCTCTTTTCCATCTTTATTTTTCTCTGTGGCCTATATCTTAGTCTAATACTCTGTATATTATAATCTATTTATTTTTAAAAGTTTCTATGTATTCTGCCACTAAAAAGAAAGCTTCATAAGGGCAGAGATTTTTGTCTGTTTACTGCCCCATCCAAGCATGTAGACAGTAACTTGTACAAATAGGCTTTTCAGTAAATATTTGTTGAATAAATAAATGACTCCAATCATAAGGTTATTTACTCTCAAGCAAATTGGCATAAATCTCTTTTTTCCAATCATCAAGATTTAGCTTCCTGAGATATATTCTGTAGTATTTCATTATCTATTTTGAGATTTTTGGCTTCTATCTAAATCTACCCATAAATATTATGGTTTAACTTTATATTTCCACAATCTATCATTTGAAGTGTTTTATTTTTCTTAAGATCTCAAATGTAAAAAGCAATTTATTATAATTACATTGTTAGGTTTTCACTCATTTTTTGAGGTGTCTTACTGTATTTTGGAAGGTTCTGCTACCATATTCTGCATTTCTGGAAGAGTGTATTATTTTCCTAACTCATCTTAGTAACTTTCCTAGTCCTTGGTACGGTGTTTCACACACAGCAAGTACTCAGTAAAATTATTCATAGAAGACTTATATAAATAAACAAAGTTGAAAAAGTCTATATGTGGCTTTAAAACCTCCAGCATCCCCATTTTTGTATATTATACCCAGAAGAGAAACCTGTGGATGTTTTTTATTCATATATATGAATAAGTATATATTTATCAGTTTATTCATTCGGTGAATATTTATTGAGCTTCTATTATATGCCAGCCACTGTTCTTAAGTCGTAGAAATACACTGTAGTGAGAAAACATGAAATTCCTGTGAACAGGAATTACTGCATTTTAGTGAAGGAGATAGATAGCAAACAAATAAATATGTTAATATTAGAATTACATCAAAATCTTGAAATTAAAGATTAATATATGGCCAAGCTTTAAGTTGGGTTATCACCATCACAGTATGAACTTAGGGTATATATCTGAAATTTTATTCAGAAAAATAAAGCTTTTACTATAGCAATAGTATTACAAAATGTTGAGTCAAATTTTGCACAGGGACAGTAATTTCTCAGCAGTAACAGCTGATAAATCCTTCGTATGGCCAACTATCTTGCACATTTGGAATACTAAACAGTACTCTATGGTCTACAATGATATGCAGTTTTACAGAAGCAATCTTACAAAACATGCTATTTGTACTGCTTGCAGAAGATAAATCTTGGTTCTAGAAATTTGACAGTATAGCAACATAATTGGCTTTGAAGATAACAAAATCTTTCCCGAATTTCTATCTGCATTGCACCTTTCATCACATGCATACCAATTTTAGCAGCTTCCTGGAGTAGAATAAGAGTATCTTTACAGCAGAAAACATGCAGAGAATAAACTCTTATGACAAATTTGGTTTCTTGAAGAATCAGCAAGGTCCAGCAAACAATTTTTCCCTGCATGTAACCAGTGATTGTTAGTAATATCTCCTATGCTGGTACCCTTACTTGCAAAATATCATTTCAATGCTTCCCTTGATTTATGAGCCCTTTTTTTTTTTTTGCCATTTAAAGGCTTCTCTTAATCTTGTTTGAACATACGTTATTAATATATAACAAAAGAGTTGCTAAATGTCTTGTATGCCATATACTTTTATTTTTGGTAAAGAAGAAGAAATGATTGACAGTTTTTCTGCTGTTGTCAATAAATCCCAGCTATCAAAATTTTTTATTATTTCTGAAGATACAATGGAAGGTTGTGAACAAAACATTGTGTACTTGTGATTCCTAAATCAATCATAGCCTTCACCACATTTGTTCCACTGTCAATAATTGCATTATGCTTTATTTGCTGATTTTCCATTCTCTATTATCTATCAGCTTTACTTTGTTGTTAGCTATTTGCAACTGGAAATCTCTTCACAAGCAAGGAAAGTAGTGATTGGTTTTATTGTTAATTTATATGTTATCACACTTTAAAAGGACTTTGGGCTGTATATTATATTATTTATCTATTTGTCTGTTATACATAATATTGAAGTAGACTATTGAGTGTTTGGCTTAATACTACCAATAATACTAACTGTTGTATACAATAAAAATAATTTAAGAAAATATTTTTTAGTAATATATATTCTAGAAAGAATCTTGAACATAAGACTCATAGCTTAGCAAGCCTCAGAACTCCTTTTACTTCATCTCCTGAAAATTATTGGTAATCTATGTCAGTGATTTTGACAAGTTTTTTTTTTAACCTCCATAGATTCAAAACCTCAACAGGAAATTGTTCCTAAATATTATTTTTGATGTCTGCAGTTCTGAAATTTGATAAGTGAGAAAATATTATGTGTACCTAGTTTTTATTTTTTTCTCTCCTTTGTCTTTTATTTTTATGTCTGGATTGAAGATGATTTATATTGGATATTTTTAAAATATTTGACTTTTTCTCCTTGAGAAATTTTGAGATAGCAAAGTTGTTATTCCATTATTATTTGGTCCTCACAAAATGGGAAATATTTCCACATAACTCTTCCTCTTAAAAGACTCATGGAACAAAGTAACTTACGATTAAATTTTGTTACATGTTATTTAATTTTGAAAATGTCAGTATATTGAATAATTCCTCAAAGATCTGGATTTCAGGACTGTCTTGATACATATATTTTTGTATTAGTTAAATTTTTATTAATATTTCTTGACTAAAATGTTTCCAGCTTTTTAATATTTATCTTGCTATTATAATCTAATATTTATATTAATTATCAATCTATTTCTTGAACCATAAGTTCTGAAATCTTTAACATAAAAATAACAATTTTTATAATAATTATTCTTTAAATTCTTCTCTTGCTATACTAAACACATAGTAATGATTCAGACTAAGATAATTTCAACCTATAGAGCACATAAGGGGTTTTCATTCAAGTAGCATATAGTGAATATTTTTAAATAAATCTAAATGTCATGCCTTGTTGACAGTACTAACATTGTTACACTTATTAAATAAGGTAGTAACATCTGTCCTTATACAAATATTAATATTATATATTTCCGGGATGTCAGAACAGTGTTAAAGTAAGCATCTGTTTGTTAAGCCTACCAGAAGGTAAAAGGCAAATAACAGATCCTGGCCAAATATTGAAAATGAATTAAACTTTATTTCTAATACATATAAGGATGCTGTAAAGCAAAATGATGTAGATTAAGGGGGCTAGAGACAAGTGGGTTGGGGAAGGTAACACTTTAGTATGTATGGTCAGGGAAAGCCTGTCTTTGGAGGTGATATTTAAACAGAGACTTGAATAAAGTAAGAGAGCAAACCTTAAAATGTATCTGAGGGAAAAACAAATCCAGGTAGAGAGATCAGTAAGTACAGAATCTCTGAGACAGGAATGTGCTTTGCTTGTTCAAGGAATGAAAGTTTTACTGGAAATAAGGTTGAATGGGTGGCCAAGGACCATTATGTATGAGTCCATGTAGGCTTGGTAAGAAATTTAAATTTAGTCTGAGTACATGGGAGGTCAGTAGAAGATTGAGAGCAAAAGATTAAAAGGTGATTCCGCTGGTATATGAATAAGCTATAGGGAGGAAAAATAGGAGCAGCCTGACCAGTTAAGAGGTTATTGCTTTCAAAAAGCATACAAGTAGTTGCATCTCTTCTCAAATACCGAATGAATAAATACATTTTGTACATTCAAATAAATAATGCCTGTAAAATTCACTTTCTGCTTTCAAATATCTTGATGGAATGTAATGATTTCATAAAAACGAACTAGTTGAGGAAATTATCTTCAAGATTATGGATAGTCACATAAATATTTGAAAGACTTTATTTTTCATTCTGCAGATGTTTCAGCATTTAGTATATGAAACTATCTTTGTATAGACCTATATTTGCTATTATCTATGGACATTTGGGGCTTCTTTCTATGCCCATCTTAAAGTATGATTTTATTCTGGGATTATCTTTATATATTCTTTTTAATCTCTTTTTACTTATGTAGAGATTTGAATATTAATGTGAGTAAACAACTGACTTGCTTCGGAAAAAAAGAGGTTATTGCAGTAATCCAAGTGAGGTTATGATGGACTAGGGTGGTAGCTGTGTATTATGGACTAGGGTGGTGGCTGTGGAGGTGGAGGCTTCTTAAAGAAGTGGTCATATTTTCATATTAAACTTGTGGATTTGGCTATGGGGCATGGGAGAGAGATATCAAACGTGATTTCAAAGTTTTGTTGTTGTTGTTTTTTGAGACGGAGTCTCGCTCTGTTGCCCAGGCTGGGGTGCAGTGGCTCGATCTCAGCTCATTGCAAGCTCTGCCTCCTGGGTTCACGCCATTCTCCTGCCTCAGCCTCCCTAGCAGCTGGGACTACAGGCGCACACCATCATGCCCGGCTAATTTTTTTGTATTTTTAGTAGAGACGGGGTTTCACCATGTTAGCCAGGATGGTCTCAATCTCCTGACCTCGTGATCCGCCCGCCTCGGCCTTCCAAACTGCTGGAATTACAGGTGTGAGCCACCGTGCGCGGCCCTTGATTTCAAAGTTTTGTCCTAAGCAGTTGGTTAAGTGGTTTAGTGAGTTGAAGGATACTGACAATATGGTAATAGAGCAGAGTTTTGTTGTTGTTGTTGTTGTTGTTGTTGTTGTTTAGGGAGGAGGGGAGTGGTCTTGCAAATTAAAAGTTCTAATTTGAACATGATAAGTTTAGATGTCTTTTAGACATCTTGGTGGAAATGTCAGAGAAGTAATTGATGAGAAAGCTACTGGAATTGGAAATAGAAAATTAGCAATTATCAGCATATCAACATAGTGTTTAAAACCATAGGAATGGCCAAGTATCTGGCACTGGTGCACTTCAATATTGAGATGTTTAGAAAAGGAAAAGTTGTCCATCATTAAAACCAAGAAATAGTAGTTAGGTATATAGAAGAAAGCCTGGGAGGCTGTAGTGATCAAGAAGCCAAGAGAATAAAGTGTTCTTAAAGGTCAGAATTATCAACTATGTCAAATGCTGTAAGTGAGGTTAGAGAAAAATCATGTTTGGCAACATGGAAGACGTTGGTGATCTTGAGGAGATGTTTTGTGAAGTTCTAAAGAATGAAAGCCTGGTCATATGAGTTTAAAAAAGAATAAGGGGTGAAGTTGAGACAGCAAATATAGACAGTTTTTTCAGGGAGTTGTGTTATGAAGTAACACAGATGAATAGAGTGAGACTGACAGGGAGAAGAGCCAAAGGAATTTTTTTGGTTTGGTTTTGTTTTTTAATATAGGGGATTTTTGACCATATCTGTGTTCACTATAAATTTTTAAATTGATGGTACAAGAAAAAGGAAATGATTTTAGGAGTAAAGTTCTTAAAAAGGCAAGAGGAAATAGGGCCCAATGCACATGTGGAAAGATAGGCCTTAAATAGGAGCTTGAACTATTCACAAAATAAGTTATAGTTATAAATTATTATTAATAATTAAGAGGAGACCTATAAGTAGGTGGACATTATAAATTCCTGTTTTGCCACACTAAAAATTAAATACTGTGCCAAAAAGTAATTTTTAATAATCTTGTTTCCCATAGTGGTTCAGGTTCTGCATGAACACCATCAGGGTTTTTAGCCCATGTAACTCAACTCATTTCTCTATTTAGAAAAGTCAGGGAAATGGTAAATAAAAAACAAAGAATGAAATTGTATTACCTGAGATTTCCTCCACAAGGTGATAAAAATATATCACAAAGTTCTACTGAAAAATGGTACTTTTTTATATCAAATATTGAGCCTAGAAACCCAGGTTTATAAGTTTAATTTAAAAAATACCAAATCTATGGATGGAAACTCCAGTACTCTAATAGGTGGCTATATTAAGGATGGGGAAGAGTAAGATTTCCTTTTTTAACAGTAAGGTAGGGTATATTCTCTTTCTAGACAAGACTATGTCTATTAACTTAATAAAGTTAAACAAGGTAAAAAATCAACCCAGTGGAAATAGAGCTGTGGGGCCTAAAATCTTCCTCAAATCCTTTGTACAGCTTGAGACTTTTCAGTACGCTACACAATGTGGGAAACCATTAACATAACCCAGTCAAAAAGTGGTTACGATTTTAAAAGTTAGAGTCATTGACTTCAATTTACAGACTTGGAAGAAGCAAGCCTTCCAAGTATCCATCATGCCATTACCACATTCATCAAATTCATAGAAGTTACTTTGTCCCAGAATCTGCATCCATCACTAGACAGCATGGCTAAACTTTGTTCTATTTGAGAGGTTTATTATAACTAAGTTTTTTAAGGCATTGGAAATGTGTAACATGCTTTAAATTTTATAAGCACTTGGGTTTACTACTAATGTTTTGTTTCTTGTGGGTATCTCATTAATTCGGGTAAAGTTGTTTTGTTTCTTCTCTGTTTTGTTAATTCAAGATTTGAGTTTTGGGGTTTTTTAATGTTTTGTCCAATATTTTTACCAGATATTGTTGACATCCAAATAATAACCAACAAGGTAGGACCCAAAATACTAGGATTTTTTTTATGTTATTTGCAACTCTCTGATAAATATTGAAAGAAAAAGGCTTAGTCTTTTAAGATACCTAAGACATAATTATAAAGGATGATTAACAAGTGGCAGGTCACTTTTAGCATTTGAAAATTCTTCAGAAATTTTTTCCACCTTATTGGATGCAGGTTCTATGCTTACTATGCCAAGGATTAAAGGGGGAAGAAAATAATAACTTTCGGTAGAAAAATTAGGATATTACGTTTAAGGATAATAGTAAGCAAATCGGGGGAGGTTGGGGAGGAGCTTACTACATTATCTACAGTGCTTTTTACTGGAATGAATGTGGGTGATCATGTGTGTGTATGTTCTTCCACAATACTGTTTAACAACATCATGTTCTGTGTATAAATTAGTGTGTGGAGAGATTTCCTATTTAACTTAAAACTGTTTCTAAAAAGATACCTCTTCCACAGGAAAATCTTATCCCATTTCTCTGTGGCTCCAGATCTGCTAGTTCTGACATTTATATTCTACAAAATGGTTAGAATCTTCAGGGAAATTTAGAATAAGTAAAGGTTAAAATACCATAAAAACAAAGTCCTAAGTCAAACTATTTCTGTGCCTTAGGAGGGGAAATGCAAATAGTTAAGAAGTGTTATCCAGCCTACAAGGGAACTCAATCCACAGTAGAAGAGGGTAGGGCAGAGAGAGATTTCTTATAGTCAGCTTTCAGCAATATCTTTAAATCTGGAGATAAGAAATGCCAGAAACATCAGAATTTCTTTATAAGTTTATCATGTTAAAGCCCTTCTCAAAGCCAGTACTTACCTGTTTCTTGGTTAAGGTTACTTAAAAACATGAACATGGGGACATGAAAATTTAAGTTTCTTAGAAGTTTTACTTTGAAAAACTCTCAGAAAAGCAACACAATGAAGTCATTACTTTAGGAAAATGTTAGCCAAATTCCAGGTATAAAACTATAGGTATTGATTTAAATTGATCAAAGATTCTTTTTTTTCCTTTGTTTCTTAATTCCTACTAGTAGCATGTAGAGCTGTAGATATAAAGGTAAAATATTTAAAAATTTGTTGTGTTAAAACTGGTAGAAATAGGAAAGACGTTTCTGATATGGTGGCATGTGAACAGAGACCTAAAGGAGGTAAGGGAATAGCCTATACAGGTAAATGTCTGGTAGAAGAGAGTTTCAGGCAGAGGGAACAGCAAGTGCCATGGCCTGAGGCAAAAAGGGTTTTTTGAGAAAGGGCGGCAAGTGTGCCTGAAGGAAACAAGACAGAAAAAGGTGTCCAGAGAAGTCAGAAGTTAGGTAGTGAGGGGCAATGGGTTTAGAATTCAGGCAGGAACAGACAATGCAGGCGTTGTCTGCTATCAAAAGGACACTGACTTCTGTGAGTGAGATGGGATAACTCTGGGCAACTTTTGAAGACTAGACTGTATGCAGGAAGGAAGGCCAACAGTTAGGATTTATATTTGTGCTTGCCTTTGGATCTTCAAAATATCTTCCTCAAATTATTTTTAACACATGTATTAATTGTATTTAACTATTCATGGAAGCTCAGCAATGCCATCTAGTTTTCAAATTGATCCATTGTTTAAAGAATGAGGTCAAGAATTGTCTTACACTCAACCACGTAATCAATAAGCCAAGAGTGTTATTCATACCAAGTCACACATTGAACTTTATATTAATCAAATCTTCTCTATACATGTGGTAATTATTAAGTTTAGAAATTATTCATTTTCATTATTATTCTTAATTAGAATATTGTTTAATTAAAAAATAATGATCTTACTGAAAGCATGTTAGAGCCATAATTTTACTCATTGAATTCCATTTTGCTCAGCCTAAAACACTGAAATGTTTACCTACAAAATATGGCAATTTATAAGCTAATTTTCTTCTACCTAATACATATAATTAGGTAGCATTTTTACAAATTGATAGGTATTTTAAAGTCACCAATTAAAAGGCAAAACTTGTCAGATTGGATAAAACAAGACCCAACTATGATGGCCATAAGGCATCATGGCATTGCACTTTAAATATAAATACACAAATAAGTTAAAAGGAAAATGATAGAAAAAGATGTATCATGCTAACACTAGCCAAAAGAAAGCTGGTGTAGCTATATTAAATATTGAGCAAAATAGGTGTCCCAGCAAAGTTACTAACCAGAGATAACAAAGATTATTTTATAATGATACAGAGATCAAGTCATCAAAAGAACATAACAAAACCAAACTTTTACACACCTAATAACAGAGTTTGAAAATAAATGAAGCAAAACACTGAGAACTGCAAAGAGAAATAGATAAATCCAGAATTAAAGTTGGAGATTTCAACATACGCCTCTCAGTAACTGAAAGGATAAATAGATAGCAGATCAGTAAAGATATAAAAGACTTGAGTAACACTATTAGCCAGATTAATATTTATAGAACATTAACAAAAGCAGAATGCGCATTCAAGTGCGCACAGGGTGTTTACAGTGGTAGGTCACATTCTGTGCCATACAGCTAGTCTAAATAAATCTAACAGAATTCAAACCACACAAAGTATGCTTTCTCACCACAATGGAATTAAGTTAGAAACCGGTAACAAAGATTTATTGAAAATCCTAAAATATTTGGAAATAAAATAAATACTTGTAAATAACCCATGGGTCAAAGAAGATATCAAAAATAAAGTTGGAAATTAATTTAATTGAATAAAAATTAAAACACAATACATTAAAATGTGGACATGGCACATTGAGAAGAATGATCGCTTAAATTACTTATTTGCATTAAACACTTTTGCCAAGGAACACAGTGCATTAAAACAAAGTAAAATGGCATCAGTTTATAAATAACATTGTCTTTTACATTATAGAATTGCAATTATATGTGAATGAAGATATTCATTAATAGGCTATAGGCTAGACAGACCCACTGGAATATTTTGATATTTTCCCCATATTTTTCTATGTATTTAAATAATGTTTTTATATAATTAGGTTCATACTGTGTATACATTTTTGCATTCTGATAAATACGTTAGGTCCTAAACAGTTTCCAATGATATTAAATATGTTTCCAATACCAGTTATTGGCTGTGTAATTTTGTAGTGATATGCCATAATTTAATCAGCTAATTTCCTAAACATTTTCCAATTATATTAGATATTTTTCCAATACCAGTTTTTATTGGCTGTGTAATTTTGTAGTGATATATAGAGATAGGTTTTTAGCCCAACAGAATAGCAGGAGAAATGTAGTGCTATGCCATAATTTAATCAGCTAATTTCTAATTATGCTTCTAATTTGTTATAATTTTGAATGAGCAAGCCATGTATAATAATGTCTTCATTATTCCCTTAATTTGCATTCCAAGAAATGAATCACTGAGTAAAAGGGCTTTTTTTTTTTTTTTTTTTTTTTTTTTGAGATGGAGTCTTGCTCTATCACCAGGCTGGAGTGCAGTGGCACAATCTCGGCTCACTGCAACCTCCGCCTCCCAGGTTCAAGCGATTCTCCTGCCTCAGTCTCCCAAGTAGCTGGGGCTACAGGCGCGTGCCACCACGCCTGGCTAATTTTTGTATTTTTAGTAGAGACGGGGTTTTGCCATGTTGGCCAGGATGGTCTCGATCTCTTGACCTCACGATCCCCAAACCTCAGCTTCCCAAAGTGCTGGGATTACAGGCATGAGCCACGGTGCCCAGCCAAGGCTTGTATATTTTTAAAGCCTTGACACATTTTATCACATTGTTTTATCACAGTGTACCAGTATATACTCCTACCAAAATTTTGTCCATGTTGCAACCCTTAGCAACATTTAATCGTTATCATTTCTCCTGCTATTCTGTTGGGCTAAAAACCTATCTCAGTTTTACATAACTTTTGAAGATGATATCTTGTTTCTATAATTATGTAAACAATTTGCCACTTTGTTAATGTTATTAACTCATTTTCATATTTGTGGTAAATGTGTTTTTCCAATTTAGTTTTAATGGTATATATATAGATATAAAATCTTGTATAATATAGCCTATATTTCTTTTATCTTTTTAATGAAAGTCCACCATTCTGTAATCAGATGTATAATCTCACCCCTTTTTTTCCTCATGTGAATTTTTTTCCTCCATTATGGAATAAAATTTTACTCTGAATGGTAAGTAGCACAGTTTTAGGTTAGAATGTGAACTGAAGATTGAATTTTTTTCCAAAACAATAGTTTTTCCCCAGCATAATTGATTGAATAATGTTTTTATTCCTCAGTGACCTTATAATAGGTTAAATTCTAACATTTTTACTTGATTATGATCAGAGGCTCAGTTTCTTCCTGGTGTGTGGATACGCATTTCATAAATGTTTGCAAAAACTTTAAAGGAATTTTTCCTCCATAGGGTATCACTGATACATTTGAATCACTTAATTTTTTTTTTTGGATCTCATGCTTTTGGCCCTTTGGGATTTTCATAAAGTTGTTTTCATGCACATTTAATTTTGTCACAATAATTATATAGATTTAATTCTATGTTTAACTGATTTCATTGCTTATAGCCAATAGGATTAGCCTCTGACTTCTATATCCCTAAAAATATTAGTGTTAATTAATATGTAAAAGATATGGAAAACTTTTTTTTTTTAGAAAGAGATACAGACATGTATGTGTTCTGAACTCTCGCCTATGTAAAAATGATACCTGCTTGTATTACAATTTACTGATAAGTTACCTAGATAATATTCTAGGATAGCCTTTTACCTTCAAAATTCTGTATATTTTGGTCCATAAAGGAGTGGAACTCTTATGACATACTATTTATTTCTTACATAGTTTTCCACTTACTATCATTTTTCACAGTTATTTTTGTATGTCTCATCTCCTCTAAATAAGCTGTTTGCATTCAGTAAATGCTTCTGAGTAAATGAATGTAATTTGAATTCGTAAATCCTACTACATAATCAACATTTTAAAAATAAAATATTGCAATATCATATCACTTTTGAAAATCATTTATGTTATAATAATGGAGGTAAACTCGATAATCTTTATCATTCATTCCAGTTTAGAAGTTTTACTGCCTGTGATTCTAAGTGTTTGTGCGTGTATAATATTCAAGAAATTGCCTAGCCCATTTAGCTGTTCAATTCTATTAGCTATTTATTCACTTACTTCCATGTTATATCCGTTATATGCCATTTGAAGAATTATGAGTATATAGTCTCATAGTCATAGAAGGGACTAGAGGTTTTATGTTTAATCTCAAACCTAATCCTTTAAAAGGGGCATAGCCCATAACTTAGAGTGAAGTAAAGAACATTTATGAAAAATATTTGCCAGTTAGTATGCCTACGACTTTGTTCAAAGCCCAATTTATGTGTGCATATTTCTGGTTATTAAAGATAATGCTACTTCTTTATTTTCATGCTTATCAGTATAAATGTGGTTAAGAGAAAAAAATATGCTTATCGTTTCTGCACTGTGACGTTTGCTGTTCAAAGATATTATGCATGCTAAAATAATCTTTGTTATTTATTTATCTCATTAAATAACACATTTGCATTAGTCTACCTTTAAGCTTAATAGCTTAACAAGTTATTTTTTCCATAGATTAATAACATTTTTACTAAAAGAGCTTTCCCTTCTTGACAAATTATATTATTCAAACAAGTGAAAATCTGATTATCAGCCATGTTAGTTTAGACATATATATATATATATATATATATATACACACATTCATTACTGGCAACAACTCTTCAGGACATTTGAATTCAAAATTAATTTTACAGCATTAATGAAATAGTAGTATAGTTGGAAATACTTATTAAATGACTGTTTTAAAATAACTGTTATAAAATAACAGGAATAAATATTAACTATAATAAAGATACAGTTAAGTATAATTTGTTGATTATGTTTAGCTAGCGAAAGAAATTAGCAGATAATTTAATAAAAATTATTTGATAGGGAATAAATATGCTATGTATAATATTATTTAATTGAAAATACTTTATGAAGCGCTATCATTGTAAAGGATATAGCCAAGAGAAATAATTATGCTTCGCTAAGAAGATCTTTTAAAAGTCTTTTCTGTTTATACAAAACATATTATTCATTGGTAGAGGAACATAGGAACATTTCTGAGTACTATTCAAATGCATTAAGATGTTAATGCAAACACAGCTTTAGAGATTTTAATTTCTTCTATTCTAGACCTGGCTAAGAGATGTAAATGCTTGGGTAAATAATAGGGTGTTACAGTACATGAAACACATCCTTTCTATGACAGTAATAAATTAAATGAACACATATTTTTCTAGGCTGTTTATAAATCATGCAAAATGAATTACTGAGTAAATGAGGATTCTGTACGTTTTTAATCGCTGACATTACTATAGTACCATCTCTGTGCACCAGCTGAACTAATAGCTTACTGATGATTTCTGAATCAGTCTATCTCTTAAAGGATATTATCACCTGCAGGAAATATTACAGAGAAACAAGTCACTTAAAACTACCTGAGTTTAATAACTTCCTGGTTCCAGCAGCTTATTTGACCTTGAGCAAGACCCTTAACCTCACTGGGCCTCCACTTCCTCATTTGTAAAGTGGGGATACTAATACTAACTTGCAGGGTCATGGTAAGTGTAAATTTGGTTAATACATGGAAAGCATATAGTAAGTGTTACACAGACTTTCTGTTGTTTTTGTTATCTGTTCCAAATGGCAATTTTTAAAAAATGCTTATGAAATATACTTTATATTGATATGTATTTCTCCAAATGGAATATGAGTTGATTATTTAAAAACACCTTTTAACACAAAATTATTTCTTCTTGGACATTGCCCTCCACTGTTGTAAGATGGCATATTCACCATCAAATCTGGAACTGGAACCCTTATTCAGTTCACATTGCCAAGAGAACTTTTTAGTTAGGCCTGGATGCTCAGTATTTCGTCAGCACACTACAAGTGCTGGCCCAAAATGGGGTGCTGTACATTAGGTTAATTTTCACCTTTTGGACTTTTTATTTTGAGCAGATTTTTACCAACAAACAATTGTGCAAGGAATCGTATTTAAGATGGATGGATATTATGCCAAATTGCAATGCCAGACTTTACAATGTAAAATGGAAATGTTATATATATATTTTCTAGCTACCATTTCAGAGCATTTGGAAGCTGAATTACTTTCTTATTGAAAATGACTTAAGTCTTTAATTGACTTATAAGTGTGTGTGTATTTATATGTTCATATTTCCCCCCCTCTAGAACTGGGTAGATAAAGCTGAAAAACAGGCTCTTCTCTCTGAAACACTTGACCTATCAGAACTTTTCCATCCAGACACATTTCTTAATGCTCTTCGCCAGGAAACTGCAAGGTAATTAAAATGAAATACTTTACCTATTTGTCCCTGACGGTAATTAGTTTTGCTTTATTGACTTCCTATTACACTGCCCTTGATTGTCAAGAAATAAATTTATTATTGAAACACAGTTATGTTATTTTCTTATTCTCTACTTTAAATCATACAGTTAACCTTTAGCTTAAAAAGCATTGCTTTTAATGATGATATGTTTTATTCAAATTTAAAAAGATAAAATGTAACTTTTATAATTTTGATCATTTATCTATACCTGTGCTGTCCACTATGGTAGCCAGAAGTCACATGGACCTATGTAAATGAATTAAAGTAAAAATCAGATTTGAAATTCAGTTTTTCAGTAACTCTAACCACATTTAAAGTGCTCAATATCCACATGGCTTGTGGCTACCATTTTGGACTGCATGAAAATATTTTTATCTTCGCAGAAAATTCTGCTGGACAGTGCTGACTAGGCTCCTTGGTGGAGAACAGGACTTGATGATTAAGATCAAGCTCCTTTTCTTACCACACTCAGATTATCATATCATATATAATTTTTAACAAGTTGGAATGTAATAAAAGGGACATTACTAAAAATATCCTCAACAAAATTTAGTTGTTTAGTAACTCTCAGGGGTATTTCAATTTGTATTGCTTCAGGCTATTATAAACATCAAATTTCAGTTCAGCTAATAAACATTTATTGAACACCCATCGTGTGCCTGCATTTGAGGGTCATGGTCAAAACAGGATTTAAAAATGAAAAAAAGAAAGGCCTTATCCTTAAGGAACTTACAGCATCAAAGAGGAGACTGACAGTTAGCTTTGAAAATTTAGTGTGAACTCTGACATATTATGCATAGTTTAATGGTATTATTATTTACACATGGTAAATATTTTAATTTTAAATAAATAGGACTATATCTTCAGTTACTCTTCATATTTTAATTCCTAAGGATTATTGATTTGTGACTTTGATGCTTTACCTTTACAGGGCAGTGGGTCGTTCTGTGGATAGCCTTAAATTTGTAGCCTCATGGAAAGGTCGACTGCAAGAAGCAAAGCTACAAATTAAGGTACTAGACTAATTTTAGATCTTGGAATCTCAGCCTTATCACCAACTGATATAAGAGATTCTGAAATTTTGATCTCAAAGTGACCTATCTTTATAGTGTAAGATCAGTAGAGTTAGATTGTATTATCTATGTGAAAAATCAAAATAAGATTTGGCATGAAACAACTTGTAATAGAAAATACAGACTCTTCTTATGCAAACATAAGAATCTTGGGGATACAATATTTGAAAGTGTAACTTTTAGCACAAATTTATACAAACCATGCAGTTCTTTTACCTTACCTGTTCTAAAATTGAACCTAATATTTACTGTACAATAAACTACATACAGGTTGAGCATCCAAACATCCCTAATCCAAAAATCCAAAACACCCCCAAATCTGAACCTTTTTGATTGCCAATGTGATACCACGTATTGTCGTATTTTGGTCCACATGGGTGGCCAAGATAGTGACACCTTTGCTTTCTGATGGTTCAGTGTGCGCAAACATTGTTTCATGCACAAAATTCTTTAAAATATTATATAAAATTACCTTTGGGGTATATGTATAAAATGTATATGAAACATAAGTGAATTTGGTGTTTAGACTTGGGTCCCATCCCCAAGATAGTTCATTTGTGTATGTGCAAATAGTCATGCACTGCATAACGATGTTTGTCAATGACAGGTTGCACATACTACAGTGGTTCCATAAAATTATAATGAAGCTGAAAAATTCATATTGCCCGGTGACGTCTTTTGTTCATTGTAACATTTTGGTGCACACATTAGTCCTGTGTTTGCAGTGATGCTAGTGTAAACAAATCTGCGCTGCCAGTTATATAAAAGTAAAGCACATATAATTATGTATAGTACATAATACTTGATAACCGTTCATGCTTTATGTATTTACTATATAATACCTTTTATCATTATTTTAGAGTGTACTCCTTCTAATTATATTCTTCAAAAAGTTAACTGTAAGACAGCCTCAGGCAGGTCCTTCAGGAGGTATACAAGAAGAAGGCATTGTAACCATAGGAGATGACAGCTTCACGCCTGTTACTGCCCCTAAAGACCTTCCAGTGCTGTAAGATGTGAAGGTGGAAGACTGATAATAATGATCCTGACCCTGTGGGAGGCCTAGGCTAATGTGTGCATCTGTGTCTTCATTTTTAACAAAAAAGTTTAAATAGTAAAAATTAAAATAAATTTTAAAAAGAAAAAACTTAAAAAATAATGATATAAAACTATTTTTATACTTTTTGACTCTTATAAATAACACTTAGCTTAAAACATAAACACATTGTACAGATACGCAAAAAATCAAAAGTATAAAGTAAAAAGTGTTTATGTTTAAAACACCTGGGTTCAAGTGATCCTTCTGCCTTGGCCTCCCAGAGTGCTAGGATTACAGGCATGAGCTATTGCACTTGGCCTGACTATAGTTCTTTAATGCAGTTAACTTTATGCAACTAGCTTTTCAGAAATTCCATTCATATAGTTCTAGTTTCCTGCTCAAAACACTTTTTACTTTATACTTTTAATTTTTTTAACTTTTTGACTTTTATAAATAACACTTAGCTTAAAACATAAACACGAGATGTGTAAAAAATTAAAAGTATAAAATAAAAAGTTACAGTAAGCTAAGGTTAATTATTGAAGAAAATTATTTTTAACAAATTATTGAAGCCTAAGTGTACAGTGTTTATAAAGTCTACAGTAATATATAGTAGTGTCCTAGGCCTTCACATCATTCACCACTTATTCACTGACTCACCCAGAGCAACTTGCATTCTTTCAAACTCCATTCATGGTAAGTGCCCTGAACAGGTATAGGATTTTTTTTATCTTTTATACTCTCTTTACTGTATATTTTCTATGCATAGATACACTTACCATGTGTTCCAGTTGCCTACAGTATTCAGCACAATTACATGCTGTACAGATTTGTTTCCTAGGAGCAATAGGCTATAGCATCTAGCCTAGGTATGTAGTAGGCTATACCATCTAGGTTTGTTTAAGTACACTCTCATGTTCACACAGTGATGAAGTCACCTAATGATGCATTTCTCAGAATGTATTCCCATCATTAAGTGATGTATGACTGTATTCCAAAATTCAAAAAAAAATTCAAAATCAAAAACACTTTGTTCCCGAGCATTTCAGATAAGGGATACTCAACCTGTATATAGTATATAAAAATTAGTATATAAAAAATCTTGTCCTCAGGGAGTTTATAATTTGTGAGTACATTAGTTAACAGTTTAAAAAAAAAGCCACTTATGATGATCTATTTCTTTCGTAGTACAAATTTTTCTTAGCTCTTTTTCCTGTTAAAAATCCATTATTTTTACAATAACAGGTAATCATTCAAACATTAACAAAAATAATTTAAAAGTCTGTGATGGAAACTTTTTCCCCAGCAACCCCAACCTTTTTTTGTATCACTAGCCCCTCTTACACTATCATTCCTTGCCATTCCTCTTTCCCATTTCTTTACATAGAATTGCCCTCTTAACATTTTTTTCCAGTTAAAAACTTCAAGCTGGTCTCAAACTTCTGGGCTCAAGCAATCCACCTTCCTCGGCCTCCCAAAGCGACCAGATTACAGGCGTGAGCCATTGCATATGGCCTGGCTATAGTTCTTTAATGCAGTTAACTTTATACAACTAACTTATTAGAAATTCCAGGCCGGGCGCGGTGGCTCACGCCTGTAATCCCAGCACTTTGGGAGGCCGAGGCGGGCGGATCACGAGGTCAGGAGATCGAGACCATCCCGGCTAAAACGGTGAAACCCCGTCTCTACTAAAAATACAAAAAATTAGCCGGGCGTAGTGGCGGGCGCCTGTAGTCCCAGCTACTTGGGAGGCTGAGGCAGGAGAATGGCGTGAACCCGGGAGGCGGAGCTTGCAGTGAGCCGAGATCCCGCCACTGCACTCCAGCCTGGGCGACAGAGCGAGACTCCGTCTCAAAAAAAAAAAAAAAAAAAAAAAAAGGAAATTCCATTCATATAGTTCATTTCCTGCTCAAAAAATTTGTTTTCGTATTACTACTATTTTCTAACATACTGTCATTTATTTATATTTGTTGTCTTATTCTAGTAGAATGTAAGTCCCGCAAGAGTAGTAACAATAGCCGTTACATAATAAGCATTCGATCAAACCCTTTCTGAAGGGTTGAGCGCCTATAATAGGAGAGGCACTGTAGTAGGTGTTCCTAGCATCGGCTACAATGGTATAGTGTGCCAGAAATTTGATCATTACCAACAAGCTAGATCTTTCCCTTTTGGCTCTATAGACTGCCATAAAATTCTCACTTAAAGCTGAAGGAGTGGCCGGGCGCGGTGGCTCACGCCTGTAATCCCAGCACTTTGGGAGGCCGAGGCGGGTGGATCATGAGGTCAGGAGATCGAGACCATCCTGGCTAACAAGGTGAAACCCCGTCTCTACTAAAAATACAAAAAATTAGCCGGGCGCGGTGGCGGGCGCCTGTAGTCCCAGCTACTCGGGAGGCTGAGGCAGGAGAATGGCGTGAACCCGGGAAGCGGAGCTTGCAGTGAGCCGAGATTGCGCCACTGCAGTCCGCAGTCCGGCCTGGGCGACAGAGCGAGACTCCGTCTCAAAAAAAAAAGAAAAAAAAAAAAAAGCTGAAGGACTTAGAAAAGTTTTCTTTCATTTAATTTTGTCGTTTTGTTTTGTTGAGATGGGGTTTTGCTATGTGGCCCAGGGTGAATTTGAACTCCTGGGCTCAAGCAATCCTCCTGCCTCAGCTTCTTGAGTAGCTGGGATTACAGGCACATACCACCACACCCAGCTTCTTGACATTTTATTTTAACCTTAGCCCCTAGCTCATGAGAAGTACCTTGGCTATTACTGGTGGGTCATACACTGCTATCCAATTGTCAGGAGAGTGAGGGAACACAAAACATGTATATTTAGTCTCTGGCAGCTGTGAACCATGCATGTAATTATAGCATCATTTTTTAATTTAGGAGTATAATAAGCAAGGGAAACCAGTTTTATTGTGTCAAAATGTGTTCATATTTCCCAAAGTATATTGACCGTTCTTTCAAAATGGGAATAAAGTCGTGCACAACCAGAAAATCCCAAGCTTATATAATTGTTTTGTACATTGGGGCAGTGGGTGGGGTGGGGGGTGGGCTGCACTGACAGTAAAATAAGATTATAATATTAGTATCTGAAAAAGAGCTATGTGACATTTTTAAGCAATTAATGGGGCAGTCTGAGCCTTGGCTGTCACAGTTATGAGTAGACTTCAATAATAACTTCATTGACATGTTTATTATGAGGATCTCTGAAAATATATGTATAATCTGTATATATATAATGAATGTATATTTTTATATATACAATGAATATATATTTTCATATATATTCAGATTACATATATGATTAAGATTTATATAGTAGGAAATATTTGTTTCTTAGTTAGAAAACCAAGTATGTTTTCATATAAAGTTCTGTATATCCAGTGAGCAAAATTCTTTTATTTTTCATTTGGGATTCATTAAAAGATATTTTATTGTTAAGAATTAAAATATTCACTTGTAAATATTTAGTAACATAAATAAGCATGGTATAATGACTAGAAAATAATTGTCATTTTTGTTAGTAATGTATTTCCACATATACTTACAACTTTAATTTTAAAAGCCATCTCTACATATGAGATTTAAGATAACTCGACAGAACTTTTCCTCTCTCTGGTCCATTCATGTGAGCTATAAAAGCACATTTTCTAACTTTCTCGCCTGCAGTTTCCAATAATGTTACCAGGGAAGAAGTCTTTGTAAGGCTTTCACTGTTAGCACTTGGCAAAATTAGTAAGTTCATTTGTCCATTTAGGCTCCTTTTAATTATGTTTTTCAGCAGAGGGGATTGTTTCAATAGGAGAAATTTGGATTTGAATTATACTTGAATTTTACTATCACTATAATTTTATTAGTTTTTTTTAAAATCTCTATCACCATAGACTGAATTAAACAGTGAGGCTGTAGTTCTCCAAACCGATCAATATCTTAAACCCTTTAGACCTACTTGAGAGAACATATTTATGTATTGATTTTCAGTTCCTGAACATGGCCCTCTAAAATTCCTGCCATTATTGATCTATTATGTGTTAAATAGTACTTGAAAACTTGATATTGCAAAATACATAAATCAAGCTCCTGTTCAGCCTACATTTTACATCTTCCTCCAAGGCTGAGAGAGGATTGCCCTAGCAACACTTCGAGTGCTCAGTAGCCATATGCGGTATAGTATATACAGTAACCACATATGGCTGCTGAGCACATACGGGTACTATATTGTAGCTCTGCATGGAACGGTCAATTCCCTAGAAAATGTAAACATCCTTTGGTCTTCAAGGTTTTTTTTTTTTAATAATGTTTAATACTTTCTATTATTAAACATTTTAAACAAATACAGAAGAGAGAGTAGTAAAATGAGTCTGCATATTTCAAGGTTTTAAGATTTAGAAACATTCCACCTTTTTCTCTTTTTTCTTGCTAAAACACATTTCAGACATCATTTTATTTTACCCCTCTATGGTTCTGAATGTGTTTCTTTAAAAATATTTTTTTTCTTAAATATAATGTATTATCACAAATATCAAAATTAAAATTCCTTGGAATCATTTAATATTCAGTCCAAAACAATATTGACCAGTCTTCAAAAGAACTCTTTCCAGTGGTTTGTTTGAATCAGTGTCAAAATAATGAAATGAGATGCTAACATGGCATTTGGTGATGTGCCTTAAGTCTTTTTATATCTAAATCAGGTTCCACCTTTCATTTATTACCACTGTTACAGGAGTGGGGTCATTTCTCCTATAGAATGATGTACATTCTGTATTCATCTGCTTGCTTCCTTATGTTAGTAAACTTTTGTTCCTCTGTCTCTCATTCCTTATAAATATAAATTAATTCCAAAGATCTAATTACATTGATTTTTTTTTGTGTGGAGGGGCAACAAAAATACTTCATAAGTGGCACTGTGTTCTTCATTTTACATTGTATCATAAGGCACACACGTGTTGTTTTCTTGTTTTTAGTCATGCTAACATTGATTCATGTGTACAGGCAGTGACAGCCTCATTCCTCATGTAAAGTTTCTCATCAGTATTTCATCTAATAGATCATTGCTTGGATAACTACGGTTGCACACTGATTTTTCTAATTTTGTTATTCCTTCCACATTTATTAGCTAAAATTCTTCTGCAAAGAGGCTTCAATTAGGTCTATTTAGTTACCTGGATATTATGAAATACATTTTTTGTTGAAAATAAAGAATACCTAATTTTTTCATTTAAACTGGGAATATTCAAAAGATGCTGTTGATAGTTTCCAGCAGTGTCCAGTGACATTTTCTCTTTAAGTATCATTGTGAGCTTCTTGTATATCTAATGTTTCAGTAAATTGCATTTATTTTATTTTTCATGTGCAGTTGTCTCTGGTCTTTGGCATATATGTGACGCCTCTTAATGTTGACCTGTATATCTTTCTTTTTGCTTTTATGAGGAGGGGGTAAACCTTAATAGTGAAGTGTAGCGTCATACACAAAAATGTACAAATTTCAGAGTACAGCTTTATGAATTTTCAGTAAGTGAATAAACCTATGAAACAATCATGCAGATCAGTATAATATTTTATGGTGATTCGTTCTCAAAAATTATGTTTGCAGTTAAATGGACCTAACACATATAGTACAAACCTTATTTTTCTTTCAATATATTGTAAACAACTGAGAACCGCTGAAGATGGCCCAGGGAGATTGTGATTCATCCACTCTTATCTAAATATATACTAATGATTGGTAAAATATAAAAAAAGGAAATCACAAACCTTAGCTGGCTTGAAATACAAGATAAGTATTACATTGTGTCAGAAACAGGACAGAAAATAAAATTATAAGTAGGGCCGGAAATACAGATAGATTGAGCTATAAGTCCAGAATTAGGAAGCAATGAAGCATGGCTTTTTTAAAGTAAAAGGAATTAGTAGTGCTAAATGTTACATAGGACTATAACCAGGCTTGTTGCTGGTCGAATCCAGTTCTGAGGTTAGGCTCTCCATCTCCCCAATAAAAAGAGACTGAATAAAGCTGTTGCAGGCCTGGAGCAGTGGCTCATGCCTGTAATCCCAGCACTTTGGGAGGCTGAGGCAAGCAGATCGCTTGAGCCCAGGTGTTTAAGACCAGCCTGAGCAACATGGAAGAACCCTGTTTCTACTACAAATACAAAAAATTAGCCAGGCCTGGTGGTGCATGCCTGTCATCCCAGCTACTCAAGAGGCTGAGGTGGGAGAATCACCTGAGTCCAGGAGATCAAGGCTGCAGTGAGTCATGATCATGCCACTGTATTCCAGCCTGGGCAATGGGAGTGAGACCCTGCCGCAAATAACCAAACAAACAAAATAAAGCTGTTGCAGAATCACTGATTGAGTTTATGGCATTATAGAAATCTGTAGGCTTAAGAAAGCTGAAAGACAAAGAAATAGCCTGACTCCTTAGATGCTGAATCTCACTACCTATCCACGAGATCTGCAGTATCCCAACATTGCCAGAACAGAACCCCCAAACTGGCATTATAAATATCGTATGTATGTAGATATGGAAGGGACAGTACAGAGGTCTATGGAGGGAAAATACTGCTCAAGATGAACCTAGAATCCAAAATCCAAAGTAAATGGGAAAAAAAATCTAATCCAAAAAGGAAAACTAACAAAATCATTCAGATGAAACAGCTAGTCAATTAGTTGTTAATTTTATAGAAAAATCTGACAAAAAAGTTAACTATTTTAGTTTCCTTGAACAGATACATGAAGGAATAACTTGCAGTACAAAATAACAAGAACTTCTGGAGAGAAACAGGGAAAGATAATACAGTTATAGTTGAAAGTAATGTCAGAAATGAAAAATGTAGTCTTTAAATGAAAAAATTGATAGACAAACTATACATTAGATATGATTGAAGAAGACATGATAAATTGGTTATGTTATGAGACAAAAACAATAGTTTCAGATACTCCAACCTATTTCTAAAAGGATTTCTAGAAGTATAAAACAGAGAGAATGACAGAGAAGAGAAATTTGAAAAACTAATTCAGGAATTTTCCAGAATTGGAGAATGATGAGTTCTTGGATGAAAAGCATCTGCAAAGTACCAAAAATAATAAACAAAAGTAAATTAAAGAGGAAAATCTTCAAAGTTACCAGATAAAACATCAGATTTTCTTCCAAAGTAATCACCATGTTGACAGCGGACTTCTCATTCACAACACTAGATGTCAGAAGACAGTAAAATAATATATTCAAATTGATGAAGAAAAATAATTGTTAAACTTTATTGCCATCTAAAATAATTCAATAATGAAAGCAATAAGAGACTTTAGGAACCCAAAGACCACAAGAATTCACCACTCACATACAGCCTCAATGAAAGCAATATTGAAACATGTACTTCTGCAAAAAGTAAAGCCAGAGAGAAAGTAATGAACACCTAAAACAACAGTGAACCCCAAATTAACAAAATAATTTTAGTGTGTAATTTAACTTAAATTTAAGTAGCTTAAATATTGACTGTAAAATATGTTATGCTTAAGCTGAAAATCTAAACAGCAATAATTCAATTAGATATAATGTGTTAAAATTCATACTATGTTCAGTACTGAATACTTTAAGAATTTATTAGAAAGTTTTACACTTAATTACGCATTTAAAAGTAGATGGTAAAACACTAAAATGGATATACAATCCATAGCAGAAAAGGAGAAAAAGCAAAAAAAGGTAAAGAGAAAAAAATATAAAATGGGAATAATACCAAATATATGACTATTGTAAACATATTAATCCTACCAATTAAGAGAGATTATCAGACTGGGGAAAAAATAAAATCCAGTTAAATGTTACTTAAAGATATACATTTCAGTCGTGATCACGCAGATAATTTGAGAAGTGGAAAAATACAAGAAAGAAGAACTTAATGGTGAAAATGTCCTGTTTACATATCACAAGAGTAAATACTTAAAAAATGTCAGACTTTCCAAAATCAAATTTTAAAATTTAATGCAATTTCAACCAGTATCCCAAAGTGTGTTTTGTTTTTTTTTTTAATCTGTGGCACATGAGTTTGAGTTAGCATTTGCTCAAACTAGCTCAAAACTTAGTGGCTTAGAATACCAATTTATTATTTTCTCACAATTCTGTGGGTTGCCTAGTAGATCCTTTGCTGATTTACTCAGACCCACTCTGCATCTGCATTCGGCTAGATCAGTTAGAAGGGAAGGTCCATGCTGGCCTCATTCATATATATGGCAACTGGTGCTAGCTCAGTCCTTCACATGCCCTCTCATACTGTAGGTACCTCATACTGAGGTACCTCAGTCCTTCACATGCCCTCTCATACTGTAGTAGACTAGGAGAGCTTCCTTATATGGTGGTTTCAGTGCAGCATTTCTAGAAGGCAGAGCCTTTTAAAGCCTAGCTTCAGAAGTTGCTTAAAGTCCTACCACATTCTATTGGTCAAAGCAATTTAAAAGACCAGCCCAAGTTCAAGGGGTAGAAAAGAAACTCCACGTCCTGAAGGAAGCAGCAGCCAAGCTTACTTGGCAAAGGGGTGCATATTAGGAGGAGAGGAATGTTTGACCATATTTTTCACTGTGTCACACTATTATTATTGTTATCATTATTAAGCAATGGCAGTTGAGACAGTATGGTGCTGGTTTAGGGAACGACAGACTAATGTAACACAAAAAAAACAGTCCAGAAACAAACTTATGCCAGTATGGAAACTTGACACATGACAAAAGTGGAGTTGGTTACAAATTAGGGGCTTGGAAGGACTATTTGATAAATAATTCTGAAACAATTGCTCACTCATTTAGAAAATGATAAAATTTGATCCATACTTTATATTACAAATAAAAATTGACTCTGAAGGTTTAAAAAGTTACAGAAATAAAACTGAAAGAGAAGACTTTTAGAAACAAAACACAGGAAAATATCTACTCAGGATTTCTTTAGACACAAAAGAAGTAAAAGTCTTAAAGGAAAAAGCTGATAAATTTGCTACCCTGAAATTAAAGATACCATAGAAAGTGAAAACACAGGCCACAGACTAGGAAAAGATACTAGTATCTTGTATAACTGACAAAGGATTAGTACTTAAAACAGATAAAGGATGTTTATAGATCAATCTTTTAAAGAAAATGTCCATAGTAAGGAAAAGGTGGAGGTGGGCAAAAGATTTTAATAGGCAACTTAGATGAAGAGGAAACCTGAATGGCTAATAAACATAAGGAAAAGTACTTGTTCTTACTAGTAACTAGGAAATGAAATTAAGACCAAAATTTGATTCCATTTCATGCTCATCAGATTGACAGAATTTTTAAGTCTCAACAGACCAAGTATTGGCAAGATTGTAGCATAATGTAAATTCTTATATATGACAAGTAAGAGTATAGATTGATAGAGTTACTTTGGGGAATAATTTGTCAATATTAGGTAAAATTGAGATTGACCACACCTTCAACCTACCTAGAGAAATTCATGCAAATGTGTATAAGGAAGTACACAGCATGGTTATTGAGGTGTTTTTTTAATAATGGTAAACAGTTGGAAATATTCACCAGCAGAAAAATGGATAAATTGTTGTATATTAACAAAATGAAATGTGCAGCTGTTGGAAATGAAAGAACAAAATGGATGCACCTTAAAACCAATAATGAAGGAAAAGAGTAGGTTGCATGTTACCCTTTATATAGAGATTGGAAACATGAAAAACAATACTATTTATTGTTTATAGATACAGATAAAACTAAATTCAGGCCAGAATATTTTCAAAACTCTTCAAGTGACCTGTATATCCCATTAGTCATATAGTAGAAAGAATATTTAAGTATTAAATAATTATATTATCATCCCAGCTCTTTTACTAACAACAAAGTTACTTATCTTTTCCTTGCAACAGCAACCTTACTGTAAAATTCAAGTAATGAAATCATTCAAAACAATTGGTTAAGGGATTCTCTCCTAGCACCTAAACCATTCCCTGACTGTATGTTGCTGAAAATTATCTTCACTCTTCCAATTTAGTGTTCCCTTCATTCTGAATTCTATAGTTCTTTCATTTAGTATGTTAAAATTTGAAGGCACTGTTTTGTTTTGTTTTGTTTTGTTTTGTTTTGTTTTGTTTTGTTTTGAGGCGGAGTCTCACTCTGTCGCCCAGGCTGGAGTGTGGTGGCGCGATCTCGGCTCACTGCAAGCTCCGCTTCCCGGATTCACTCCATTCTCCTGCCTCCGCCTCCAGAGTAGCTGGGACTACAGGTGCCCGCCACCACGCCCAGCTAATTTTTTGCATTTTTAGTACAGATGGGGTTTCACCATGTTAGCCAGGATGGTCTCCATCTCCTGACCTTGTGATCCGCCCGCCTCAGCCTCCCAAAGTGCTGGGATTACAGGTGTGAGCCACCGCGCCCAGCCGGCACTGTACACTTTAAGTTTGTTTATATTTTGTACCAAGTTCAAATTATGATAATATAGATGTGGCTCTTAGGGCAAAGTGCCAGAAGAGCTATAAATGCCAAATACTGACTCTACATTTGTTACCTTTAGGATAGTCAGGCTAGATTAACTGCAGAAACTAAAAGAATGAAGAGTTTCAAAGAAGAAATATGAAGATAATAATACCAAAAGAACCGTGTTTTCATTTTCAGGATTTCTTATATCTACACCAAGGTTACCTTAAAGACATGAATTCTTTCTTCTCTTTAATTCTTCTTTCATATTCATATCACATGTCGTTTTTTTCATTACACTTTCTGAACTTTATTCTATTCCTTAAAAGGTGTCAGAATTCCAGGTTGGGAATACAATGTTTGCTCTCTAATTATGCTTTTCTCCCTTCCCTCATGGAGAAAGAATAACTTTTTGGCTTTTGCCACTGTAATTCTATTACACTAATGTCAAGACACCCGCAGTTGTATAACAGATGAGATTTATATGTAATTTCAAAAATATATTTGCTAAAAATGAGAAATCAGTCTCAAAGAAGTTGACAGTGAACACTAGTCCAGGCCTTACTGACTTTATTCTCAAAGTACCATAATCTTTGTTTTCATATATTTGGAATCGGTGAACACAATGGAAAGCATAGCTCTTAAGGTAGAATAGAGTAACCTCTGACATTTGCGACTTTAATGCATATTTTCATGACATATTTGTTTCCATGGCAGATCAGTGGCTTGTTACTAGAAGGATGTAGTTTTGATGGAAATCAACTTTCTGAAAATCAGCTTGATTCTCCCAGCGTGTCATCAGTGCTCCCTTGTTTTATGGGCTGGATTCCACAGGTAATACATTTTTAACAAGCACAAGTTTTAATTATATCAGTTCTCTCTTAGATTTTATCTTTTCAAGAAGACATTCTTGGCCTGTGTATTTTTGTTTGCTTTCTAATCTCACCTGCATTTGAACAAATTTGCAGTCAAAAGTACTTTATCCTTTATCATGTTTAAGATGCACAAGACATTTGAAAACCTTGATTTTGTTATAGAAAGAATAACATAGTATTAATTTCTGGAGAGTTTATAGCCTGGTAATAAAAAAGCCTTTAATGATAATAAGAACTACCATGTGTTGCATTCCTCTTATTTTCAGCAATGTGTGCTAGGTACTTTATATGCTTTACCTAAAATCCTCCTCAGAGCAGCCATGCAAGGCAGATATTATTATTCCCACTTTCAAATGAGGAAACGTGCTCACGCAGGTTAAATGACTTCTCGTAGTTAGCTACACAGAAAGTGATAGAATTAAGGTGTTAATAGATGTATGGCTTTGTATCACACAATGTCATTATGCAGCTGATAGGTGGATGAAGAAAACAATCTTAAAGACTTATTTAGTTAACTTTTTTCCTTTCAAAACCATTATTGAAAAAACTTTCAACAGTAGAACTTGGGGTATACATGTCTTTCAAATAGGACATAGTTGTAAAGAAGCACATAACTTTTTCTTAATAAAGTTTAAGAATGCACATATGACTACATGTGAATAAACTTTAAAGTTCTGATTGTGTATCTAATGAGCAACAAAACTATTTCATATATTGCTCACTACAAGAAAAATGAGCTTTCTCATTGGGAAATAATGCATTGAATTTTCCAGTTATTGTCATTCTCCTTATAAAATAAAAATCAAATGCACCAGAGTATTTATTTAAGGAAAATCTTAAAAAGCGATAGCAGTTAGCAACATTGCCAAGACAGCTATAAGAGTATCCTCTGACCTAAAAGAGCATATGTTTCTGTCAAAATTCCCTATTTTTCCCCCATATCAGCTTCATTTTCTCCAAAATTAGAGTGACTATAAGATAAAGGAGAGAGAAGAGACTGAAAGAATCAATGTTTACTTCAATCTTGCTGTTAATTCCTATAAGAATTTTCTACAAAAATTTGGTAAATTATGAATGACACATTTTTGTCTTAGCTGTGTAAATCAAATTGAAACTTATATACAAAAGTTAAGGTTGGAATTTGTCAAGTGTTGTGAATATAACATACAAAATTGTTTAGGATGGCAGAGATAAATTCCAACGAATTTAAATTATATAAACTGCTAATTCTCTGGAAAATAAAATCCATATAATGATCATGAGGAGGAAAAAAAAAAGTAGGGCAAGTATAAACAGGTTCACTTGAGGAAAAACCCAAACAATAAAAATAGAGCTTGAAGAGCAACTAAGAATAAATATAGGAGACAATGACCTGGAGCCATACCCACGTACTGAACGCAAATCAGGAATGCAGTGCTGTCATGGACAAAGCCAATCTGTTACTGGGTTGTATGAAAAGCAATGTGACTTTACAAGACTAGGAATTGATAGCTTGGCAATATTTTACTTTGTGTATTATTTCTATCCAGTTTTATTTGTCATACTTCTAAAAAGTCAGGATTGGAATAAAAAGCTAATTTAATTTGAAAAATAGCTCATATAAAGAGAGGTAAAATGAATAGAGCATTTATCCTATAGAAGAGATGACTAAAAGGTAATATGAACTTTTTACTCTTTTTCTTTTTATTATTATTCTTTAAGTTTTAGGGTACATGTGCACAACGTGCAGGTTTGTTACGTATGTATACATGTGCCATGTTGGTGTGCTGCACTCATTAACTCGTCATTTAGCATTAGGTATATCTCCTAATGCTATCCCTCCCACCACCCCACAACAGTCCCTAGAGTGTGATGTTCCCCTTCCTGTGTCCATGTGTTCTCATTGTTCAATTCCCACCTATGAGTGAGAACATGTGGTGTTTGGTTTTATGTCCTTGCGATAGTTTGCTGAGAATGATGGTTTCCAGCTTCATCCATGACCCTACAAAGGACATGAACTCATCATTTTTTATGGCTGCATAGCATTCCATGGTGTATATGTGCCACATTTTCTTAATCCAGTCTATCGTTGTTGGACATTTAGGTTGATTCCAAGTCTTTGCTATTGTCAATAGTGCCGCTATAAACATACGTGTGCATGTGTCTTTATAGCAGCATGATTTATAATCCTTTGGGTATATACCCAGTAATGGGATGGCTGGGTCAAATGGTATTTCTAGTTCTAGATCCCTGAGGAATCGCCACACTGACTTCCACAATGGTTGAACTAGTTTACAGTCCCACCAACAGTGTAAAAGCATTCCTATTTCTCCACATCCTCTCCAGCACCTGTTGTTTCCTGACTTTTTAATGATCGCCATTCTAACTGGTGTGAGATGGTATCTCATTGTGGTTTTGATTTGCATTTCTCTGATGGCCAGTGATGATATTTTTCTGTAAGATTTTCTCCTGGGCTTTTACACTTGTACATGACATGTAATGGAAGAATTTGTTAGTGCTTCCCCACCTCCTTTTTCCCCTTCTTTCTTTACAGTGAGCCTCCTCCTTGTCCTGTAATCATACTACTTTCAGAATGTCTGTCCCATATCAGCTAAGAAGGAAAGAACATGAGATCTACTGCTAAGTGTTTCAGAACACAAAATTCTCTAGTTCAGCAGACCTAAATTGTAATCCAAGTTTCCAAGCTTATGAATTAGGTGATTTAGATAAGGTACCTAACTTCACTGAGCCAGTTTCCTCATTTGAAAATGGACATAATAATGTTTCTGTAGGATCATGTTGAGGATTAAATATGTTTGTGTGTGTGTAAAGTACCTAGCACAGTGCTTCATACATGGTAAGTCAAATTTATCCTGTTGTCAATAATTTAAACTTTTATAATGCTATAATGTTTTATCTTATTTCATATGGTACTTTTTAGTTTACCAGTACTTTCACTCATTATTAAGTTATTGTTGAGTTTTTATATACCAGATGTTATGCTGAACCCTGGGGTTACGAAGATAAACAGATTTCTCCTGCAGAGTCTTCCGCCAACTGGGGAAGCAAATAAGCAAAGAGAGTGCTACAGTTCGGAATCATTAGTGCAATTAGAGAGGTTTATATAAAGTGCTTTGATAGATGAGGGAGGCTTCAACTCTACCATGTGTGAACAATGAGGGAAAGTCAGATGACCTCGCTGAGAGAGGTGGCAGCTTCTCTTGAACTGTTACTTGAACTTTAGTAATAACAGTTTAAGGACAAATTCAAAAAAGATAGGGTAACAAGGCATTCCAGACAGAAGTAGCAGCATATGTAAATATATGCAGATAGAAAAGAGCTTAGGATATTCTGGGAACAGCAAGTATTGTACATCTGGAGGGTATAGTTCATATGGAAGAATGGTGGGGGATGCGGCCAGAAAGGAAGGCCAAGACCAAGTATGAGAAGCTGAGTAGCCATGCCAGAGTTTAGACCACCTTATGATCAGTAGGAAGCCATCAAGAATTTAGAACAGGGCCAGGCACGGTGGCTCACACCTGTAATCCCATCACTTTGGGAGGCCAAGGCAGGAGAATCACTTGAGCCCAGGAGTTAGAGCCTGGCTTGGGCAACATAGCAAGACCCCATCTTTATTAAATAAAAAAAGAATTAAAAAAATTTTTTTTAAAGAATTGAGAACAGGAGTATGGTAAGATCAGATTTGTAGTTTTAGAAAATCGGTCTAGCAGTGAGTGGTTGGATAATAGATTGGCACACTGTGAGATACAATTATACTGGCGTCTCATAACAATCCTATGAGTTTGGTACAGCAAATTTTCTATTTTTCTGATGAAAGGACTGAGAATCAGGTAAGTTAAATGACTTATGAGTTCCACATTGGTAGCATTAGTGTCCAGACAATCATAGTGAACATTTATTTGCACTGATTACATACCAAGCACTATGCAAGGTGTTTCAAATACAAGATATTAAGCTTTAAAAAAAATTTTGAAATAGGAATTGTAATCTCCATTTTAAAGTAGAAAATGGAGGTTTAAAAGATTATGTATTATTATATGATAATAATAAAATTCAGAACTTTGGTAACTAAACTTTTTTTTTACACCAGAAGGAGGTTATTTCACAAATTATTTTCACAATATTATCTGACACCCAGTATCCCTGAGGAGCTTCGTTTCAACAGAAACTTGCCCACTAACCCAGTCATTTGCACAACATTGCTTTGAGTTAGGCTGCAGCTCCATTTTTCAGAGAACATTTTAGGTTGCAAAAGATTGAAGAACTTCAACATTGTTTCAGTATGTGGTGATACTTAAAAAAGGGTATCATCAACAAATTCTAAGACTTCTATTGGGGCATGAAGAGGAAGCTCTATCATTGCCTCTATTTGAAATGCAGTGTACTTTGTGAATTAACAAGATTGGAATGATGAATTCAAGGAAAAATGAAAATAAATAAAATGCTGATGAAATATTTTTCTAGTATTTCTGTTTACCATTATCTATGTACTAAGATAATATAACTGACATTCACACTATTTATTCATTCATGAAACAGATTTTTTTTTTTTTTTTTTGAGATGGAGTCTCACTCTGTCTCCCAGGCTGGAGTGCAGTGGCTCCATGATACAGATTCTTAAAGTTACTCCAGTTCCAGTTCGGTGCAGTATTTTTGGTTAAATTAATATTGGTTCAAATTAAGATATAGCTAGAGGATTTTACCCAGAAAGCATTAGCTTTTTCCAGTGCATTTCTTAACATGTTTCTATATATCATAATAATTCTCTATGAAAAATGATTCAGTAAACAAACTTAATAAACACAATATTCCCTCCCTTGGAAAGTCTTATATTAACATCTCTGAGAAGTCCCAAAGATTACTTACCACACAACCTTCTCATGCCCCTACACCCTATGCTCCATCAGGATCTAATATTCCACATAGTATGATTTGGTCAACACTGCTTTATGATGAAGACCAGTCTCAGTGATGCCCTTCTGGCATTCCACAGGAAGTCAGTTTGCCTTTGCTCTATCTTCCTGGAAATAATGCTCCTGAGAGTTTATCAGCCCCACAGTAACACAGTAGTCCTGAGCCAGCCTGAACCCATGAGGCTGGATCTTCTGATAGGCACAATTGACAATTCAGCTTCAGAAAAAAATTTATTCTCAGAGAAAATAGAACTATAAAATATTTACACAAGCTACTCAGGAAAACAATCATTACTTTATATTTTGTATAGATGTTAAAATATCACATATATCAGAAGATATGTGTTGAAAGTTCTGCCTTCTATACACTCTGGTTTAAAAATACCAAATATTTCACTAACATATTTTGTATGTTATTTTTTTTCTTCAAGGACTTATTATGAAAGTAATGATGTTATCACTATATTGTTGAAAAATCAGGGAAGTATATCTTTACCAATATACATTTTGAAACCTAGCTAGACATTCTTAACAGAACAAAGTCAGAGTATTCATTGGTGGCAAGCTGTTTTGTTTCCTATTTTGAGATTTTTTTCCCCCAGAATTGCATCACTGAATTGTGCTACTTGTACATACATTAGAACTCCGATTTCCTATCATTTCCTCTTCTAAAAAAGAACTGTTCATTGACTTGATTATAAACATTCAGAAAGCATGTGTTAAAATAAGTTGGACTGTGCATAGACTGATGAATATATTTTGTTTTGTCTTCATATGTGTTTTGTTATGAAATTTAATTGAAATTGGCCAAATAGCTAATATGAGTAACGTAATAATTTTGTTTTCATTGTTTGGTTTTGCTTTTCCTTGCTTTCTTTGGTTTGCAAACTAAGTGATATCTAATATGGTAGTCCCTCTGTATCTGCAATTTCAGTTACCCACAGTCAGCAAATAAATGAATATAGTACAATAGGTATTTTGAGAGAGAGAGACCATATTTGCATAACTTTATTATTGTGGTATTGTTACAATTATTCTATTTTATTATTATTTATGTTAATATCTTACTATACCTAATGTATAAATTAAACCTTATCCTAGATATGTATGTTTAGGAAGAAACATAGTATATATAGGGTTTGGCACCATCCGCAGTCTCAGGCATCCATTGGGGCCTTGGAATGTATTCCCCATGAATAAGAGGGGACTACTGAGTCACCATTTTGCCTTTGAAAATTGCATTGTCTTCTTTCAAATAGTAGTGTATTGCTTGCTATTTGTAGAATGTATGTTTTTAAGTCATTTTGCCCAAGGCATGGGCAAATTTTGTTGTGAGACATTCAGGCTTTTCTTGGACACTTTAGGAAAGCAGAAAAATTATGCAAGATGTTTATTCACATAAAACAATTTTTATTTATGAAAAGCTAATTGATTCAAATGAGTGTAAAATTTCAAATTTTAGCCTCATTATTGAACAGAACTGGACCAGTTTGTTTTAATAAAGATATGGTTTATGAACACATCAACCATTTTAGAGTAATCAATCACAATTTATAGATTTTGAATTACTGTAATTGCACAAAACTTTGGAGGAAATATAATGTGAATTATTTGAAGTCTTCCTAATATATCTCCTTTTCTGCATTAATTGAACACAGGGTGTTTGTTCATAGTTATTAATAAAATTTTAGTTTCATCCAAATACTTCAGCCCAACAGTGTCTTATGTTTTGCCTGTTAAAGATATTAAAGAGGGAATTGGGTCATAATAATTTAATTCAGTTAAGGAGTATTCAAAGAACTTCTATATACACAAAACATTGTGCTAATATAATAGTGAGAATGCCAAAAATACTTGTCCCTGCTTCTACTGTGAGCATTTATTTATTGGAGACTTAAGAGCAAGTGTATTTAACTTTTTTACAGAAGTAACATTTACCACTGAAGAGATTTTGAGAAGTGACAAAATATCAAGAAGCCACTGTATTGCTTTGCTTTAAAACACTGTAGGTTTTGAAAGAAAGATTTGTACCCTGGCTGTAAGACAAACAAAGCCTACAACTAAAAGATTTGGAAGAATTTGGAAATATATACAAAAACTAGTAAACTGTTAGTGAATATGCAAAAAATCAGCTTTAAGTTGATAATAATCAGCATTATTAAGTTCCTAATTTAAAGAGAAATAGTCTTTACATCGATATAGAGAAAATCTCCTGACTAGAAAGGAATAACATCGTAAAACATTTCATTGTGGTGTTTCTATTTCAGTTTTGATCATAGAAGTAATGGAAAACAAAGCAAATATCAGGTGTTGGAAAAAGATAATTTAAGACCTTTCCCAGGATTAAAAATAGGCAATCATAGATTCAGATCACTTCAGTCTAACAAATATGTGATCTTTGTCTGCTCTTTGCCAAAGAATGTAAAGGAATGCTTGCACTAGGCTTTACCTTTTAAGATCGGCTAAGGAGTCATGACAATTACAGGTTTTTATTCCTAAAGCTTTGCCATCTAAGCAGAATTGAACAAGAGGGAAGAGATTAGTCAGTGACTGATAAAAGTTGAAAATTCTCTTTATCCCAAATCCCACATTTTTTTTTCTGAAGTTCAACTAAGGATTTACTCTCTCCATGAATCACTGTTAGGTTAACATATCCCAGAGTAGCATTTTCTTTATTTTGATTTTCTGAAGTATATATTTTCCCAAAACTTATATTCTAGATATTTGATATGTGTGTATTTTGTTTCCTAAAGTAAAAATTCAAAGGAGATTATTTTCTCTATTTCTCTATGTACTGAAATGCTTAGCCTTTACAATTCTAGGCACAATATTAGCATATAAAGTGCTGTTAAATGAATAGCTGAATAACTGACAAGCTCATCAGTGCAAACAGATAATTAGAAAAATTTAGGACAGATGGTGTTTTTATCTATTTGGGAATCATTTTACCTAGAGAATATGTCTTGTTATATGTAAATCAGGTTAAGTTTTAAGAATGTTAGGAATGAATAATTTTTTGGGGGACATACTGATTTATATCAAGGGCCAGAAGAGTCAGAGCAGTTGTTGGTGTGTGGGTATGTGTGTGGGCGGCGGAGGGAGAGAGACAGAGAGAGGAGCAGGATTGGAAAAGATAATGTAAAGTTCATATAATGCCCACTTAGGCTTAAAAGTAGAATGTCTTAATTTTCTGTGAAAGAAAATTATTTTACTGCTATCATAACACCATTTAAGAGATGTAGTAGCTGCCAAAAAGCTGATTTTTTCTAGTCGATTTGAGAATTAGCAGGGAATAAGGAAAAGGCAGTCCAAAGAATCAGAGACATGTGGATAAATAATACTTATATCTGGAGCTCTTTAATATGACATCTGATTCTTTCCACATCCTGTGAGGTGGGTAAGTGTCATTTGTCTTTCTATAATAGTGAAACTGATGTTCGGAGAGTAACCTCTACAGGGTCAGGAGCTCCTAGACAAGTACTCCAGAGCCTGAAAATAATTTATTTCCATAAATGTTATTGTGTTCTATTTTGCAAAGTAACAGAATAAGAGACATTAGTTGCTAACATTCATATACTAGAGTGTTTTGTCAACTGTAGTATCTGTGACAACTTTGCCACTTCCTAACTAGGCTACCATGGGTAAATTCTCTGTGGGCTTCTGAAGTGTCACTTTTGTAATATTTTAAAATGGGTCTAGCTTGCCTCTTAAGTTCCATTCCAACTCTGCAAAGTAATAATTAATTGAATAAAATCATATAAATTCAGTAAAAATGCTAATCCTATATTTGAATTGGAAATACAATTATGAACTCATGATGTTTTTCTTTTAAAAATACATGATTTCTAAGCTCCAGTCACTAAAACATCCTAGAATTAAAATTATCAATTGGCCGGATGCAGTGGCTCACGCCTGTAATCCCAGCACTTTGGGAGGCCGAGGCACACGTATCACGAGGTCAGGAGATGGAGACCATCCTGGCTAACACAGTGAAACCCTGTCTCTACTAAAAATACAAAAAAGTGCCCAGGCGTGGTGGCAGGTGCCTGTAGTCCCAGCTACTTGGGAGGCTGAGGCAGGAGAGTGGAATGAACCCGGGAGGTGGAGCTTGCAGTGAGCCGAAATTACGCCACTGCACTCCAGCCGGGGCGACAGAGCAAGACTCCCCATCTCAAAAAAAAAAAAAAAAAAAAAAAAGATCAATTATTCCTAGCACCCAAATTATGGTCTCTAATACCATTTCTCTTGAAAGAAACTAGGAATCATCAGATTAATGACTAATTTCCAGGGCAGGAAATATAAAAGATGAACTTGTATAATAATACCTGTCATACTAGAAAGGCAGTGAAACTACTGAAGAGACAACTGGGGACGTATCAAAACTCAGGAGCCAACTTAAAAAGTTCCCCTGAGCGAAGACTGACAATTTGAACACCAATGCAGTAGCGATTGCATTGCATTAAAGCACATCATATATGTTTAAACCCACCAGTTCATAATACCATTTTTTAAAAAGAAGGGGTGGTCATTGATCACCTTTGGAGTGTGCTAGGAAACATTCACTGTTTTGAAAACACATAAAGGGAAATAGGCATTTATCTAGTTTTTCTTATATGAACTGCACCTCATGGTAATAAAAAAATTGATAAGTGGAAGTTTCTCTTTATAGATATATTCCTGCTTGGAATAAGGAATGATAGATTACCCCTTGTGTAACCTTGAATGAAAAGTGATTATCAGTGGCCTCTAATAGCCAAAAAAGAGAGACAACCAGACATATGCTGCTTGATGGAAACATCTAGTACCACCTATGCGGTATTTTCCAAACATTGAGTCTGAGCTCACCTCTAGATCCAGTTTATAGGAATACAAGGAACAGACAGAGCAACGTGATACCATGGGAACGTAACCCAAAAAAGAATATGGGAAACTATTTGGTATAGTTTCTTCTGCAAACAAATTGCTAGGAAAAGAGGAGGAAAAGCTTACAGATTTAGGAGACTTAAGAGACATTTCAACAAACTGCAAAGCATAGGCTTCATTTAAATTATGATTCTAACAGAAAAACTCTTTAAAACAGGAGATGAGATAATGGATGTGTGATGATATTAAGGAATTATTGGTAGTTTTCTACTGTGTGATAATACATGGTTCTATTTTATTTATAGAGATATATATGTAAATATTTATAGGTGAAATTTTGTAATTGTAAGGTGCTGTTCAAAATACTCCAATGTTTGGGGCTAGGGAGAGGTTGTAAATAAAACACGATAGGCCATGTGTTTCATTTTGTTGCAGGGGGATGATAGGGGTTCATCATATTAATTTGAAACATTTCATAATATAATATTAATATGTTTGTTTCCTTGGTTATCTAATAATCTGTTTCCAAATAGTGTATTGCTTTATTTTAAAACAAGTTATTTTTTAAACAGGATGCATGTGGTCCATATTCTCCGGATGAGTGCATCTCTTTGCCTGTTTACACAAGTGCTGAAAGGGATCGTGTGGTTACCAATATTGATGTTCCATGTGGGGGCAACCAAGACCAGTGGATTCAGTGTGGAGCAGCTCTATTCCTAAAAAATCAGTAGAATCTAATGACAACAAAAGCCATCTTCACAAAAGGGAACATTGATTCTTTAAGCTTTAAATCAAACATGTGGTCAGTCTACATTTGAAATGTTAGTTCAAAATATTAACATATAGTTATGTTGTTGATGTCACTGAAATTTTAATGTGTAAAAGCAGCACTGTGCATCTTTTAAAGTAATAAATTAATGGAGTTATTGTTAAAACAGAGTATTCTTTTGACAACATTAAATATTTCTGTGAGAAAGTTCACTTTTCCAGTGGCTCAAAAATTTGTTTTAGGTCAGAGATTTTAAGTGGTATATTAACCAATAATAAATATTTTGGCTGTCATTTGTGTCATAATTATTTAATAAAAGAGCATTCATAATTTTTGCAGTCTTCCCATGACTCTTTTTACATACTGAAGAATGTATTATAAAGTTATAATGAATGTATAAAAGTATCAACATGAATATAATTATACTATGCTAATTATAATATACAAATATATAATTATTGTCATAATTATATACTTATAACTAATATCTTAAGGTAATTCAAATAGGAATAATTCAGGTGACATAATAATGGAGGATAAATTCTGGTTATTAAACATTCAGCTTTTTTGTGTTTTTGTTGTTGTTTTTTGAGACAGGGTCTCACTCTGTTGCCCAGGATAGAGTGCCGTGATGCAATCACGGCTCACTGCAGCCTCAACCTCATAGACTCAATCTATCCTCCTATCTCAGCCTCCTCGTAGCTGGGACTACAGGATACACCACACTGCCTGGCTAATTTCTTTATTTTTTTTGTAGAGATGGGGTTTCGCCATGTTTCCCAGGCTGGTCTCAAACTCCTGCACTCAAGTGATCCACCTGCCTTAGCCTCCCAGAGTGCTAAGATTATAAGCGTGAACCACCACACCTGGCCTGTATTTTTTATAAGAGCTATTACTTTAGCTCTGCAAGATTCACCAAAATCTAAGGAACCAAAAATACTGTTCAGTTGAGTGACAGACATTTTAGTATCCTATGAAGTTTTTTGCAGCTCTATTCTTGCAGCAAACAAATTCTAAGAGCTGAGGCTTATATTTTTGATAGTTATTTAAAAAGTCATATCAATGAAAAGTTATATATTTAGAGGAGAAACAAGATAAAATGGAAAACATTTTTAGAAAAATATATTTAAATATGTACTTTAAAGGAATATATTTAAATGTATATATTTAAATATATTCTTTTAAAAATATGTTTATAGGGCTTGCTGTTGACATTACAAGATCAGCTAGGAAGGGAAAAGCATGGACGAATACACATGGAACGTTTTTGTGGGCCGTGTCTGGAAATGTCACGCATCATTATGTTTACATTCCATTAGAGAGAACTTAATTACATGGGTATACATAATGTCTAGGGTGGCTGGGAAATGTAGTCAGCTGGGTGCTCAAAAACAGAAGAGGATGGAGGGCTAGCTAGCTCTTTCTACCACATCCCCATCCAGTGAAAAATTTTAATTCATTACAGAAATGTATTCAGTACAATGACATAAAATTACTTAATAAAGCAGCATAGGTCTTTAATATGATGCAAACCTCATGTTTATGAATTTTTGCATTAATATTCAGCAAAATAAGCCAGATACTGGCCAGATTCCAGAAATATGAAGATAGATAATACAGTCCCTGCTCTTCAGAGATTTAAAAGCTGATCGGACAGTGAAATATGTAAAAACAGTCTCCACACTGTAAATGTTTTAATCTGATATTAATATTGCTATACCACCAGCTTTTTTGGTTAAATTTGGGAAACAATACATTAAAAATGCCCACATAGAGACAAATCATAGCACAATGAAATAAGAGTTACGTGGCACGGTAGCAAAGGGCCGTGGGATTCCAGGGGAAGGAGTAACTAATCAAAAATTATTAGTAACAGTAGGCTTCTTTTTCTCTTTTTAAAAAAACTTACTTTGAAAATATTTTACAAAGAATAAATTAATTGCCTTCCTCAAATGAACAAATATTAGATGTTACGGTGTTTGCTTTAGATTTTTTTTTAAATATCAAATTTTAAAAATTGTTTCAAAATCAGAGTCCTTCACATTCCCTTCAGCAGAACTTACATTTCTTCCTCCAAAGAGACACCCACTAACCTGTATTTGTTACCTACACAGTACATGTTTTTAATATATAACCAAAAATAAGGGGAATTTTTTTTAATTAATGGGAGCTGCAAGGAGCCTCTCTAAAGCTTCAGAAGGACACAGTATGTGAGGTTCTTAATCCATTAGAAGCAACGAACGATAGTTTTCAGTCCTCAGAGACCACAGATGTTGGAATGGCCCCAAACAAAATACATCATAGCCATGTATTTGGTAAATTCAATATGACAATTTGCAAAATAAAAATCTTGGCTAGCCAGGAATTGAAGGGACTTTTCACAAATAATGGATATCTATGAAAAACCTATAGTAAAGATCATTTTTAATGAGGAAACAGGGTATTCACTTTAAAATGAACAAGACAAAGCTCATCACTTCTATTCTACACTGTTTGGAGGTCCTAGACAGCACAGAATGACAAGAAAAAGGCAGAATTGAAAAGGCAAAGACAAATACAAAAAAATACGTTCAAGGAGAAGAAAATATCAGCATTCACATACTTCTTCCCATCAGCCCTTTGCGCAGCTTTCGATTTTGGCAAGCTCACACATGTATACATCAAAATAAAAATTTTAAAGGGAAGGAGCTGAAATTTAACTCCCTGTGTTAAATATTCCTAACCAATAATTATTTGGGGGTTTTATTCGTTATGCTGAGACCTTCTGCTATAATTTCTGAAAAAGATATGAAGACTAAAGAAAATAAAATTCACTCCAGTTACTTGGGGGCATCTTCTTCCATGTTATTTCTATGTATTTACTTCCATTGTGTCAAAGTCTGGATGAGTTATCATTTCCCACCTATCTTAGGAAGCTGTGAGCACAAAAGAGCTCTGTCAGGAAGGCGGCTACAGAGCACGCAAAGTGCGAGACTGCATTTGACCTTTGGGAGACACACAAAAAGAAAACAGTACTATAATACGAAGAATATTTAATTCAAGAAAAATCAGTCATTTCACCTCAATTTTGACCCTCTTACACACTAAGCATCTTAAGAGCAGGAAGTATACATTTCATGTTTTTGTTTATGGCACTTGCTTTTACTGGAGCTCAACACACATTTATTGAGTCAGTGACTAAAAATTGTTTCCAGACAACTTAATCATCAGATTTGTCTCCCAATGATTTTAGATTGCTCCCAGAATCAAACCCATCCTTAAAGAATGAGTACATTTCCATCATTGAGGATAGTTGGAGAAGGCTTTCTTCAAAGGTTCTCATGGAAACTTGTAAAAGAAATTTCAAACATCTCAGCAAGGTTGACATCATTGGACTGCGCCTCCATGTGATCACTTTGAAGAAAACAAATCCTTTGGTTGTATAGTCCTTCAATCAAAAAATCTTTGGGGGCCGGGCACGGTGGCTCACACCTGTAATCCCAGCACTTTGGGAGGCCGAGACGGGTGGATCACGAGGTCAGGAGATCGAGACCGTACTAGCTAACACGGTGAAACCCAGTCTCTACTAAAAATACAAAAACATTAGCCGGGTGTGGTGGCTGGCGCCTATAGTCCCAGCTACTCGGGAGGCTGAGGCAGGAGAATTGCTTGAACCCAGGAGGCAGAGGTTGCAGTGAGCCAAGATCATGCCACTGCACTCCAACCTGGGCGACAGGGCGAGACTCTGTCTCAAAAAAAAAAAAAAAAAAAAAAAAAAAAAAAATCTTTGGAAATGAAAAGGATCTTAGAGATTGGCTGGGTTTCTGTTTTATTTTTACTTTACAGCCACACCTTCCTAAATGCTCACAAGTCATGCCTTGTAAACTTAACATTTTAACTAGGAGAAAAATCAATTATCAGAGAAAGTTTCATGGAAGAGGTGGACTTCATGCTGGACCATCAGGGAATCTATAAGGAGTGGACGTGTACCTACCAGGGTCCAAAAGCTCAAACCAGTCCACCTCAGTACATCTGCTACCATATATTAAGACTGCAAATTTCACACTGAAAAATAAATGTGCTCCAATAGTTAAGTTATCAATGGAAGGACAGGAAAAATAAACCCAATCTAAGCGGAGAGAAAAAGTAAGCTTACTGAGAACAACTGTATACCTACAGTGATATTTTCCATGTATGTAAACATGGCTATCAGCTATTTGTTTTTCAAAAATAAAGAGAAAAACAAGTATCAACCAAAATATTATGCATAACCATTATAAATTCTGATTATACTGTGCCTAAATTTTCCTTCCCCTTTTTTAGTTCCTGAACACCGTTTCCGAAGGGATTAAGGCAATAGAAACCTAATAAGATAAAAGCAGAGACAAGAAGGTGGAATGTGTTAAGAATCAACACAATAGATAGAAAGATGGTCTTCAATTTCTCCCTGTTTTCGAAAGTGTATTATTTATTGTTTAGCAAAGTAAGAATAAAGAATAAAACCATGTTTAAGTTTTATGGGAAAATTACAAAGTAATGAACACACCAACTTAAACCACATAGAAAAAAATAATGGAATCAAATTACAGCCTAAATGCAAAATTTGATTATTAAAGTCAGTGACACCTGACTTTTAGAAGTTAGCTTCGTTTCCATTTGAAATTAATCACTATTAAAATAGGAATTTATGCGAATGTAACTGATTCTACTAGCAATGGCGATATGCTTAACAATGGGGTGGCTGCTCACTGATTTTTAATTTAAAGATGCTTCCCTGCATGTAAAGCACAACTCTATGTTAGTTACTGCTGCTTGTCTCCCAGTGCCCATTCTCCCCTACCACCACAGTCAGAAAACTTATAATGTTTAACTGAACAAATGCATACTCAGAATAAAAACTGAAATTCCTTATCTCCCTTACATTCAAGTGTGGCCATGTGACTCATTCTGTCAAAGAATGTGAGCACAAATATCCTATGGCAGCTTCCAGGGTCATTCTTTATAGGATGTGGCCCATATACCATTTTCTTTCATCTTCATCTCCTCTACTCTGCTGCCTGCAACACTACCATCTTGGACCTCAGTCTCTGAGGACTTTGTCAAACAGATACCACCCTGGACTATTTAACTCTGAATTTCATTTATACAAGAGAGATTTTTCAACCTTAGATGGGGTGGATAAATGCCAGCTGGCTGGTGGTGTGGACAGACAAGATCTACAGCCCTCAGACAGTCCCTCCAAAGCCAAGGACGAGACCCAAATATTCCAACTGAACTAGGAACCCTAAGTTAGAGGCACTTTCAACCTGTGCTCTCTAATACAAGTCCCACTTGGCAAGGGAAAGCAATAATTGTAAACAAAACGGTCTCTCCAGGAACACCGTGTGCACCTTTGGGATGGTACTTTTTACATGGAAGCCAGTCATTAACCTGCCTCCCTCCCAAAACACTTCCACCTTATAGATGGTCACAGGAGAGCTGCAAGTGTTTAAAGTACCACCAGGAGGTCATTTCTCCCTTAGACCATTTCAGAGATCTCTCCAAAATGAATCTACCATTGGTTACTTGGTAGAGGTTCGCAAAATAACTGCTTCATTATTTATGTGCCCCTTGTGAGCAGCTTTCCCTGTAACTAAGTCATCCAATTCAAATAGATGGTATGAAATTTGTTCTTGATTTCAGCTGAAGTGATCAATGACACCACCTCAGCCCTGGAAGGCACTCAGTTCAGCTCCAACTCACTGTCTGTGGTTGTTTTGCTATATTTGTGATTCTGGGATAAGCATCTCTGAGATAAATTCTATTTGGTCTTAATATGATAATTTAGGCCGGGCGTGGTGGCTCACACCTGTAATCCTAGCACTTTGGAAGGCCAAGGCAGGCGGATCATGAGATCAGGAGATCGAGACCATCCTGGCTAACATGGTGAAACCCTGTCTCTACTAAAAATACAAAAAATTAGCCAGGCGCAGTGGTGGGCGCCCGTGGTCCGAACTACTCGGGAGGCCGAGGAAGGAGAATGGTGTGAACCCAGGAGACAGAGCTTGCAGTGAGCCAAGATCGTGCCACTGCACTCCAGCCTGGGCGACAGAGCGAGACTCCGTCTCAAAAAAAAGAAGATAATTTAAAAAGAAAATGTTTATAACAAAATGTTAGAAAAAATATTTTGTACTATGTAATACAATATTACTATGTATTACTATGTAATACAAATATTATATTTGTGAATATATGTATGTATGTAGTATGTATCTCAAATTAGAAAGTGGTACTTTAAAATATTAAATGTTCATTATTTCTGAATAGAGAGATGATAGGTAATTTTTTATTTTGGGCAAATTTTTACATTTTTCAAATGCTGTAATGAGGATGTATTGCTTTTATAACCCAAACAAAACACTAGTTTTTAAAAATTAAAGTAAATATAAGCTTAAAAAGAGCCCATCAAAGTTAGCTTTTCACGTTTCAAGACACTTCCCTTCAGAGTTTCTTTATTTGCAAACTTTTCAACGTATTTGTAGCTTGAATTGCTATTGAAGATGTTAATATACCTCAGCTCTTTGTAACTTCCAGTAAGGGTTTATTGGCATTTATACATAAGAGACATTTGATACAATTATCTTAGACCCAAAAGCAAACATGGCACTTCTAACTTGGCACATAGCTGCAATCAGAAATGTCTGCAATTTCACAGTTTAATATCTATAATAATGAGGAAACTGGTGAGTCAGCTCTTATATTGAGGCAAGAACCCTAGACTTGGAGTTAGGTCAGCAGCCTGCCAGTCTTAAGCTAGGCCCATCACTTTTGTTGTTCCTTCTGCATTTAGTTTTGTTTATGTATAAAATGTGGATTATAATTCTCATTTCCAAGTGCGATTTGAAGATCAAATGAAATTTAAGGTAGTGTTATATCTTCTTCATGGGACTGATGCAAATGTAAAAGCTAAGATTTAAAAAAATTATAAATCACAATTTTGTATAAAATACTATTTAGAAATAAAAATTTAAGTTGAGAACTTTTAAATTACCATGTTCTCAAGCCTTACATTATCTAGTTTATGATTATGTTTCTAGTGTTAAAGATCCACTTTGTTTTCATAAGATGAACTACAGTTTATTCAAATAGCTGCCATTTGTAGAATTTTGTTCAAAATCAATACTCTGTATATGACCAATAATAATGATGATGGCTTATATAGTTCTTATTGCATGCTGACATTGGCATTGCTGCAAGCAACTGATAGGTAGATACATACATGTTTATCACCACTCACCTCGTTATGTCCATTCCATTGATGAGAAAACTAAGACAGATTACATAGCTAATAAATTGGCAAAGTGGCAAGAAAGAAAACTCTCTTTCAGCGCCCCCCCCCCCCACCCAGGAAAGAGCAAAGCGAGCAAAACGGAATTCTCTAACATATATCATTTGGAAGTTAGTATGCTAAAAGGAATGAGCAGGATTATTCCAGAACCACAAGTTGATCAATTCTTCATCTTGACAAATATTTAGTACAGCAGTGCTTCTGGCAAGAAGATAAAATGAATTGACAGTGCTAGTCAAAATACTTGTTACATTACATATTTTCATTGAAGAGTCACCTCTATAAAACTTAGGAAGATAATATGGGGGAGGAATGCTTTGAATTGTGAACTTAGCTCTCAGAACTATCAACTTAGCTTCCTTCACTGCAAACACGCAGCGCTCTCTGCATGCACAGGACTATCCCAGGGGCCTTGAGGGCTCTCAGATACCCTCATTCTTCACTGTATTATTTATAAAGAACACTGTAAAATATTTCAAACAGACAGATATGTGTAGTGGATATATATACTATAAAGAGTAATATAATGAACACTTGTACCTAGCATGCCGCTGAAGAGAGCTTTACCAACAAATACCGTTTAAACTGCCTGATGTATTTTCAGTATCTCATTTCCCATTCTCCACCCAGAGGCAACAATTACGCTGAATTTGGTTTGCTTAATTCCCATGGTTTGATGGTTATTTTTATGTGTCAACTCAACTGGGCTAACGGCTACCCAGATAGCTGGTAAAACATCATTTCTGGGTTTGTCTGTGAGGGTGCATCTGGAAGAGATTTACATTTGAATCAGTAAACTGAATAAAGATCTGCCTCTACCAGCATGAGTGGGCCTCATTTAATTTGTTAAGGGCCCAAGCAGTACAGGAAGGCAGAGGGAGGGTGAATTTTCTTTCTTTGCTGGAGCTGGGCCATTCATCTTTTCCTGCCCTTGAACACTGGAGCTTCCTTGGTTTTCAGGCCTTCACACTCCAGGACTTAAACTAGTCTGTTCCTCTTCCCCTAGTTTCTGGCCTTGGACTGAATTATACCACTGGCTTTCCTGGTTCTCCAACTTGCAGATGGCATATTGTGGGACTTCTTGGGGTCCATAATGTCATGAGCCAATTCCCATAATCCTCTCTTACATCTCTCTCTCTCTCTCTCTCTCTCTCTCTCTCTCTCTCTCTCTATATATATATATATATATATATATATATATATCCTATTGGTTCTGTTTCTCTAGAGAACCCTAATACACCTGGGGAGTGGGTTCTTTCTAGTTTTTCTGAATATGAATGAATCCCTAGACCATATTCTTCTACTTGACAAATATTTGCTTTTAATCTTAGACAGGCCCCATTAAGACAAGAATAATACAGGGTGTTTGTGCCTAGAATATTCTAGACAGCAGTTTCACATAACTAGCAAAACGGAAACTGTTGAAATAGCTGCATAAGATAGGAACTAATAAGACCCTGAAAAACAGGATGTGGGTCAAGCTGGCTAAGACCAACTGGGCCCAACATGGCACTGGATTTGAGCTAGGTTTCACCTAGGACCTCATTATACACAAATTAACATACTCAACCACACACCCATCAGCACCATGACAGTTTCAGGAACACCCATATTTGGTGTAAAAATGTGTGACACCACAGCTCTGAGAAATCTTTACCTTCTTCCAGAAATCTTCATGAATATTCCATTCCTTGGTTAAAGCAACCCATAGACAGAAACCTCAAACCCTATTGTGCATGACTCACTCTCCTGAGTACACCTACAATCCCCTTTCTTGAGTGTGTACTTTAACTTGGCAATAAATCTCCATACTTTCACCATTTTCTGACTAGTCCTTAAATTCCTTCTTGAGACAGTGTCAAGATCCTGGACACTGGCCAGGGTTGAGGTCCTACCAGCATCTGGGTACCTTGTCTAGCCCACTGGTATCACTATCATGTTTGTATGGTTTTTATTTTTATGTAAATTATGTCTTGCTGTACATATTTTATGACTCTTTTTTTCTGTATGAACATATGAATTGACCACAATTTATCCAGTTTTCTCTTGATGAATATTTGAATTGTTCTAGTTTCTTACTACTACAAACTATGTGGCTGTAAACAGTAAGTTTCCTGACATGCATTTACAAGACTTCCTGCAGGGGTCCCCAACTCGCAGACCATGGACACATACAGGTCTATTAGGAGCCGAGCTACACAGAAAGAGGTGAGCAGCAGGTGAGTGAGCATTACCAGCTGAGCTCTGCCTCCTGTCAGATCAGCTGCAACATTAGGTTCTCATAGGAGCATGAACCCTACTGTGAACTGCACCTCTGAGGGGTCTAGGTTGTGTGTTCCTTATGAGAATCTAATTCCTGATGATCTGAGGTGGAACAGTTTCATCTGAAAACCACCAATCCGTCCCCCACCCCTTAGCCCCAATCCATGGAAAAATTATCTTCCACGAAACTGGTTCCTGGTGCCAAAAAGTTTGGGGACCACTGCTCTAGGGTATATACCTAGTAGTGGAATCATGGAATCTCCTGTAGGAAAACTGTCAATTTAATTAGATTACAGTAAAAATTTTCCATGTGGTTAAATGAGTTAACATATATAAAGTACTTGAAAGAGTACCTAGCACTGGTAAGCACTGTAATCATAACAAGATTTGAGTATGAACCAATTCATAGTCCCACCAACAGTTTATATGAGTTCTTATCATTCTGCATCCTCATCAATACTTATATTTCTGCAAATCTGGGGCATAAAATGGCATCACATTTACTTTGCATTTTCCCAATTAAAGATAAGCAATTTTTAATGTTTATTGTCCATTTGTGACTTTGTAACCACCCAGTGGGTTCTTCCTGTCCACTGCACAGATGAAACCAATTCACTGTGACCATGGCATTGCAATAAAGAAAGAGTTAATTGACATGAGGCTGGACATGCCACATGGAAGATGGTATTATTAATCAAATTAGTCTTCCCCAAAATTCAAAGGCTAGGGTTTTTCAAGAATAGTTTGATAGGCCAGGGAGTCCACTTCTGGGTGGGGCCACAGGACTGATTTGGGGGTCCGGGTGGAGCCATTGTTCACTGGAAGTGTAAAATCCTGAAAAGACATCTCAAAAGGCCAATCTTAGGTCCCACAGTAACAATGTCATCTGTAGGAGTAATTGGGGAAGATACATATCTTGTGACCTCCAAAATAATGACTAGTGATTATTTATGTCTACAGCTTAGCAGAATTCAAGCTCCTCCTCTCTCTAAACTTGTCATCTTTCATTAGCTTTACAAAGGCAGTTTAGTTTTGGGAAACGTCTATTATTTAAACTATAAACTAAATGTATCTTAAAGTTAGCTTGGCCTAAGCCCAGTGATGATTAAAGAAAGTTTGAAGGTTAAAGGCAAGATTGGGGTTGATTAGATCAGATCTCTTTCACTGTCATAATTTTCTCACTGTCATGATTTTTGCAAAGGTGGTTTTAATTTTTGTCTGTGAAGTGCTATTACCTTTTGCCCTATTTTTTCTGTTATCTTTTTCTGATTTTTAGGAATTAATCATCCTTATATATTTGTAGAGTAGTGCACTGTCAATTATATGTTTTATAAAATACACATTCCCAGTTTAGGGCTTGTCTTTTTTTATGTTGTCTTGTGATGAATAAAAGCTTTAAACTCAAATGCAGAATGTGCCAACCTTTCCTTTTTGGCTTGTGTTTTCCCAACAAAAGTTCATTACGATATACATGTTTTTTCTTACAGATTTAAAGTTTTAGAATGATTCTAAAAAGTAACCTTAAGTCAGATAAAGCCACATGTAAATCTAAAATTCAGTTGCGTGTCATTTTTGATATCTGTAAAAGTTACACAGTCCAAGAAAATGAAAGAATGGACACAGGATTATTTGGTGCTGCTTCACTAGCTGGAGACCTCCACAACTGGCAATGTCCTTGCCCGGGCCTTGTTTGGCCCTGGGGTTGCCACTGGAAATACCCCACCCACTGAGCCCAAAAGGCTGCCCTTGGCTTGCACTCCATCCCAGATCCTGCTCTCACCATGGGGTTTGCACTCAGCCTCCAGCTAGGTTGGGTGTGCTGTGACCTGCTTCTGCTTTGGGTACCAACATCTGGATGAGGGGAACATGGTGGCTATCAAAAAACTTGGAGACACCAGCAACTCTGAAGCCCCAAAGGGGGTGTTACAGTGTGTTAACAGCTCTTTCAGTCCCACTGTCTGCAGCCTGATGAATGGGGGCATGTGGCACCCAGTGGCTCCCTCTCCCATTGCTTGGCAAGTGGGAGAGACGTGCTACAGGGTTACAGCTCTGTTCACACTCGCCATTCTGTGGGTCTCGAGTTCTTGTCCCATTTCTAAGAAGAATGAGGTTATCTGGCAGCTGGCGGGTGAGCAAGGCAAATAATTTTGAGTGATGAAACAGCTCTCAGTAGAAAGGGGGACCCAAGTTTGGCAGTTCCCTACCCGAAGTTGGGTATTCTCCTCTTCCCAAAGGTGAGCAGTCCCAAAGTGTGGCTGAGTTTGGGGCTTTTATGGGCTCAGAATGCGGGAGTGCATGCTGACTGGTTTGTGAGTAAGCCAAAAAGGCTAAAAAAAAAAAAGGCACCACTGAAAGATGGGCACAACAGTATTGAAAACCAATTAGGGAAGGGTAGGTCTATGTAAAATAGGTGAAGGGTGGGGATCAATCAGAGGAAAGCATGCCAAATGGGAAGAGAACTTCTCAATCTGGTCTGTGGATTTATCCGAGACTTGTGGCTTGGTTTTCAGGCTTTAAACTGTCTTTGGCTTGAAGGTCAGGTTTCACTGGGGACCTTCATCAGAATGAAGAGTCCATTTTTGAGGGAAAACAAGTTTTTTCTTCCTACTCTCACATTCAGCACAGGACTCTTCTTTGGCCAGATGTGTCGGGGGGTTTTCTTCCCACACCAAGTAATTCTTTGTGGACATCAAATAGTTGTGCCCTATACTTTATTTCAATTCAATTTGATTCTGATACTGTCTACCTAGAGATAGTTACAGGTTGTAACCTGTGCATCTGACTAACCTGCTATAAATTGGGGTTTCCATGACCCCCTCCTGCCCCTTGACCTTAATAATGTGCTAGGGTGGCTCCCAGAACTTGGGAACACTTTACTTATAATCACCAGTTTATTATAAAGGATACAGATGAACAGCCAGATGAAACGATGGATAAGTCAAGGTGTGGGGGGAGGGTGCAGAGCTTCCCTGCCCTCTTTCTGTGCCACCCTCCCAGCACCTCCACGTGCTCAGCAACCTAAAGGCTTGCCAAATCATGTTGAAGAGTTTTTATAGAGCTTGTTTTTCAGTGCTGACCAACCCCCACTGGGTGGTGCTGAAAGTTTCAAGCCTCTAATCCTCCAATCACTGTCTTTCTAGTGACTGGATTCTTCCTGAGGCTATCTAGGAATGCCACACTAAGTCATGTCATTAACATCAACTCCAGTGTGATCTGAAAGAAGCTCATTCTGAATAACAAAAGACATTCCTATCACTCAGGAAATTCTAAGGGTTTTAGGTACTTTGTGACAGGAACCTCAGACAAAGACCAAATATATTTCATATTATACTACACCATTAATTTCTATTAAAGTAGAAAAACTCTAATGAGCTCCAAGCAGAATTTTAAATGCCAAGCAGGAAAATTCATACTGAAGGGGAGAAAATATAATTTCTTTTTCAACCCTCATAAATTCTTAGTTGAGACACTCTCCTGAAAATTCAGATTAACAAAAGAAAAACCAGCAGAGGTTTACTGATGTGTGCTGTACACACGACATGGGAGAGGCCTCAGTTCAAAAGCATCTCTCAAGGTTTAAGAGACTTGCTTAAATAGTATTTTAACAAAGAACCATAAATCCTATAAAAACAAAACAAAGGAGAATGCAGTTCCAGACTTGTAAAAGGTGGGAAAATGTGGGAAGGTAGTAGAATCTGTCCCAGTGTTAAAAAGTTTAGCCTAAAGCCTCCTCTTTATGAAACTGCCATCGCAAAACTGTAACTGAGATAGTCAAAGAGATCTGACCTACCAGCTCCATCTTACTTCTAACTTTCAAGCTGTCCTTGTTCATTCCTGGGTGTAGGCTGAACTAACTTTGGGAGAAACTTAGTTTATAGTTTAAAATGTAACCTCCCAATGGGCTCACCTTGCCTGCTGCCTAGACAGAATTGATTTATCAAGACAGGGGAATTGCAATAAAGAAAGAGTAATTCATGCAGAGCTGGCTGTGCGGGAGACCGGAGTTTTATCATTACTCAAATCAGTCTTTCCGAGCATTCGGGGATCAGAGTTTTTAAAGATAATTTGGTGGGTAGGGGCTTGGTAAGTGAGGAGTGCTGTTTGATCAGGTTGAAGATGGAATCACAGGGGGTCAAAGTTAGGTTCTCTTAATGTCTCCTGTTCCTGGGCATGACGGTGGAACTGGTTGGGCCAGATTACCGGTCTGGGTATCAGCTGATCCATCAAGCACAGGGTCTGCAAAATATCTGAAGCGCTGATCTTAGGTTTTACAAAGGTGATGTTATCCTCAGGAGCAATCGAGGTGGTTCAGACTCTTGGAGCTAGAGGCTGCATGACCCCTAAACCGTAATTTCCAAACTTGTCGCTAATTTGTTAGTCCTGCAAAGGCAGACTGGACCCCAGGTAAGAAGGGGGTCTTTTCGGGACTAAATTTGTTTCAGAGTCAAACGATGAACTGAATTCCTTCCCAAAGTTAGTTCGGCCTATGCCCAGGAATAAACAAGGACAGCTTAAGGGTTAGAAGATAGAGTCGGTTAGGTCTGATTTCTTTCATTATCATAATTTCCTGAGTTACAATTTTGCAAAGTCGGTTTCAAAAATAAAGAGGACAACGGCCCTTTCCCATAACAAACCCCCTCTTGCCTGGGGACTAGACTGCCTTTGTGGAACAAAGTAGCCAAAAGATTAGAAATTATGCTTTAGAAGTCATGAAGCTGGAGGCTACAAGATTCTGATTGCACCACTCCCCACCCCTTCCTACCCCCCCAGATTGCTCCTGGGGATAAAAGCACTGTTGTAAAACCAAAGATCAGTGCTTGAAATATTTTGCAGACCCTGCACTTCATGGATCAGCTGGCACCACCTAGATCATAAACTGGCTTATCTGATCCTGTGGCCCCCACCCAGGAATTGACTCAGCACAAGAAGACAACTTTAACTTCCTATGATTTCATCTCTGACCCAACCAATCAGCACTCTCGACTCACTGGTCTTCCTTCACCCACCAAATTATCCTTAAAAACTGATCCCCAAATGCTCAGGGAGACTGATTTGAGTAATAGTAAAACTGGTCTCCTGTACAGCCAGCTCTGTATGAATTACGCTTTCTCTATTGCAATTCTCCTGTCTTGATAAATCGGCTGTCTAGGTAGTGAGCGAGGTAAACCCACTGGGTAGTTATACTTACAAATTTTAGGTTTGGCCTAAAGGTTTCTCCCTACGTAATAAACTGTTACCTAACTGGGTGAGGAAACAGATTGTAACCTACTGTTGGGCCAGTCACTAAGTTTTGTCCCATCAAAGGTGGCCAACTGTTCAAACCATTTTCAAATAAGGCAAACATCTAGCTGTAACCAATCTGGCGATTTCTATATCTTACTTTTGAGGCAGGGTTTTACTGTGTCACTCAGGCTGGCGTGCAATGGCACATATTCGGCTCACTGCAGCCTCAATTTTCTGGGCTCAAGTGATCCTCCCACCTCAGCCTGCCGAGTAGCTGGGACTGCTCAGTGTGAGCCACCATGCCTGGCCTTACTTTTGTTTTCCGTACATTCTTTTTCTGCTCATAAATCTTCCACTATGTGGATGCGCTGGAACCTCTCTGACCCTATTCTGGTTTGGGGGGATACCCAATTTGCAAATTTTTCATTGCTCAATTAAACTTTGCTGAATTTAATACGTCTAAGGTTTTTCTCTTATCACTAGATTCTTCTGGTGCCTGCTCATGCCTTCTCTGGGCCAATAAGCAAGTGCCATTTTCCAGTAAGGAAGGATTATATCCTGCTATTGCTACAGAAGGGCTGGGCTCCCTGCTAAACTCCACCCTCAAGCCAGGAAACTTGGCCCTAAGTGAAAACAGCTGACCCTGATACAGAAGGGCTGGGCTCCTGCCTAAACTCCACCCTTCAGCCTGGAACCTTGGCCCTAACTGAAAACAACTGATCCCAGTTTTCCACCCAAATTATTGCCTTTTTGGCCTGCCATGCCCCTATCCTGTGCCCATAAAAAGACTTCAGCTAGCAGCTGATGCAAATGATTGGGGTTACCAGCTGCTGAGTGTCGGGGCTGCGTGCTGCTGAGCAGCTAGCAGAGAAGCAGCATTGAGTGTCAGAGAACACAGACATGGCTAACTTCACATCATGTGGCTTCAAGGAAAGATCACCTTCTTCCTGCACACCATCCCCTTTCCAACTCCCATCCCACTGAGAATCGTCACCCAATAAAATCCTCTGCATATACTACCCTTCAATCCGTTTGTGTGACCTAATTCTTCCTGGACGCCAGACAAGAACCTGAGTGACGAGAGGGCAGGGGCTTGGATGCTGTGGGGCCTGCACAGAGCCTGCTCCCACCAGAGAAGAGTGACTGGCCAGTTCCAGCATTCATTCCCTCTTGTTCCCACACTCACTTGTATGCACACACCCTCTTGAGAGGAGTGGCCAGTGGCAGGCTGAGTGAAACGAGCCACTCCAGTTCCTGCCCATGAAGGGGGTCAAGGGAACAATCCCATCTCACTATCAGGCATATTGAGGCAGAGCGTTCTCCTGTGTTTTCAGTGTCATTGACATAACAATCCTCAATATTTTGGGGAGAAATATTTTGGTTTTCTTTAATACAAACACACTTGGGATGTTCCTATGTGGGTAGGCTTTGGGGGAAGATCACCAGGGCATGGCTTGCAAAGCAAAAATCACAAATGCATTTAAGCTCAAATTAGGCTTAGAATAAAGGACTATGTGTAGAAGGTATAGTGAAGTCACAGGCTTTGCATAACCATAAATGTACTAACTTTGTTTTGCTACTAGTCACTCCTCTATGAAATGATTGATTTCTGACTGCTAGCAATCTTGACAAATCTCATATGTTACCTGTCTGTAGATGCTTTTTCTTTTTGTTAAACACAAGATTTGTCAGTCAGTAACCGAGTACTCCACTTCTAAATTTTTCTTTCTACCTTCCTTTTCCCTCCTTACTTAGTAACAAAATTATAACCTCTTCCCACTAGGCACCTCACCCCCTGCAGAATGTTTCCCTTATCTAATTATATGCTTGCTTAGAAGTTCCAGGAACTGAAACTTCAAACAATCTGGCACCAACAGAATTCTCATCCACCAGGAGATTACCTCAAGGCTGCAGTTAATTAACCTGATTGTGCCTGGGATGGCATCAGCTCATTCATCAAATGAGACAATAATGCGTAAGTCGTTGGAACAAGTCACATAGACCAGCACCTCCTTGGCCCTCCTGCATGCCCCACATTCCAAGCTCCCCTTTTTAAGCCTTTGTGTTTTTTTGTCCAAAATTTAAAATGATTTAAGATAGGAGCCTGGACCATTTCCCCATTGCTAGCTTTCAAAAATGAAGTTACTTTCCTTCCACTGTTCCTCCTTGTTATTTAGTTCTGCAAGCAGTGATCGGTTGGACCTGCATTCAGTTACAAGTTAAAAGGTCATTGTTTAGCAAAGATATGAAATCAACCTAAATGCCTGTCAATGGTAGACTGGATAAAGAAAACGTGGTACATATACCTCATGGAATACTACACAGCCATAAGAAAGCACAAGATTATGTCCTCTGCAGGAACACTGATAGAGCTGGAGGCCATCATCTTTAGCAAACTAACGCAGAAACAGGAAATCAAATACTCCCATAAGTGGGAGCTACATGATGAGTACACTTGGACACAAAGAAGGGAACAGCAGACACTGGGGCCTACGTGAGAGTGGAGGGTGAGAGGAGGGAGAGGATCAGAAAAAAATAACTATTAGACCCCAGGCTTAGTAGCTGGGTGATGAAATAATCTTTTCAACAAACCCCCATGACATGAGTTTACCTATGTAACAAACCTGCACATGTACCCCCAAACCTCAAATAAAAGTTTTTTAAAAGACAAAAATGATTAGTTGGAGAAGAAAATGGAGGGGAAAGGTCATTGTTGTTATTCATAGAAAAGTATTTGCATTTTTTTAGGAATTCACCAATTTCAACTGACATTTGTTTTTAATAAAAAATGTACATGTCCTGAGAGACTGAGCAAGATGGCAGAATAGAAGCCTATACCATTTGTCCCCTCTGCTGGAACATCAAATTTTAACAACTATCTGCACACAGAAAAGCACCATCATAAGAACCAAAAATCAGGTGAGTAATCACACTACCTGGTTTTAACTTCATATCACTGAAAAAGGCATTGAGGAAGGCAGGAGAGACCGTTTTGAATCTCCAAAGTCACGCACACCCCCGATTCCCCTATAGCAGCTGTGTGGCACAGAGAGAATCTGTGCACTTTGGAGAGTGAGAGCTCAGTAACAGCATCAGTTGAACTCATTGCTGCCCGTCACAGTGGAGAATAAAGCCGTGCTGGGCTCAACCAGTACCCACGCATGGAGGGAGCATTTGGACCAGCCTTAGCCAGAGGAAAATTGCCCATCCCAGTGGTCAGAGCTTGAGTTCCTTGGGAAGCCTCCCTACCATTTGTCGAAGTGCTCTGGGGTGCAAGGGAAACTTGAAAGACAGTATAGGACACAGGACTGCAATTCCTAGGCAACTCCTAGTGCTAGGCTGGGCTTAGAGACAGTGAACTAAAGTGACATGTGACTTAGAGAAACACCAGCTGGCATAGCTAAGGGAGTGTTTGCACCACCCCTTCCCAAACTCCAGGCAGTGCAGCTTGCAGCAATGAAAATGACTCCTTCTTTCTGCTTAAGGAGAGGAGAACAAAGAGTAAAGAGGATTTTGTCTTGCATCTTGGATACCAGGTCAGCCACAGTAGGATGGCAAACCAGTCAGAGTCATGAGGCCTCCATTTCAGCCCCTAGCTCCTAAATTACATTTCTACACACCCCCTGTGCCAAAAGGAAACCTACTTACTTGAAGGGAAGGACTCACTCCTGGCAAGATTCATCACCTGCTAACTACAGGAACCTTGGGCCCTTAATAACCAGCAGTAATACCTAGGGAGTACACCATGGACCTTGGGCTCTGAGATGTGCTGGCTTCAGGGGTGATCCAGCACAATCCCAGCTGTGGTAGCTATTGTGAAAGACTCCTGTTTGGGAAAAGCAGAGGGAAAAGTAAAGGGGACTTTGTCTTGTATCTTAGGTACCAGCTCAGCCACAGTGGAGCAGAGAAACAAGCAGATTCTTGTGGTCCCTGAGTCCAGGCCTAGGCTCCTGGAAAGAACTTCTGGAAATTCCCTGGGTGAGAGGGGAGTGCACTGCCCTGAAGGGTGAGTCCGAGGCCTGGCAGCATTTACCATCAGCTGATGGAAGAGACCTTGGGCTTTAAGTGAACATTGGTGGTAGAGTGACAGAACCCTCCACAGACCAGTAGTGGCGGTGGCCACAGGGTGAGGCTCCTCTGCTTGTGGAAAGGTGAGGGAAGAATGGGAAGGACTTTGTATTGTGGCTTGAGTTCCAGCTTAGCCACAGTAGACTAGAACATTAGGAAAATTGCTAAGGTTTTTTATTCCAGTTCCTGGCTCCCAGACAGCATCCTGGACATACCTGGCTTCTGGGGGAACTTGCTGCCCTGAAGCAAAGAGTCTTGGGTAAGGTATAGTACTGTGCTGGCTTCAGGTCTGACCCAGTGCAGTCCCAGTGTTGGTGGCCACAGGGGTGTGTATATCACCACACCCCCAGTTCCTGGTGGCTCAACACAGACAGACTTTGTTTGAGAGAAAGTAAAGGGAAAGAACAAAATTTCTGCCTTGTAATCCAGAGAAATTTGTCAGATCTTATCCAAGACCACCATGGTGTATCTCTATAAGCATACAAAAACACAGCATTATTGGGCTTGGGGCCCAAGTTTTTTTGAATACCTGGAAAGCTTCTCAAGAAGGACAGGGACAAATAAGCTCAGACTATGAAGACTACAATAAATACCTAGTTCTTCGATGCTCAGATACCAGCAATTATCTACAAACATCAACACCATCCAGGAAAGCATGACCCTACCAAATGAACTAAACAAGGCACCAGGAATCAATCTTTCAAAAACAGAGATGTAAGACCTATCAGATAGAGAATTTTAAATAGTTTTTTTTTTTTAGATAGCTCAAAGAAATTTGAGATAACACAGAAGGAATTCTGAATTCTATCAAATTCAATAAGGAGATTGAAATAATCAAAAATAATCAAGCAGGAATTTTGGAGCTAAAAATGCAACTGGCATAATGAATAATACAGCAGAGACTCTTAATAGCAGAACTGATCAAACAGAAGGATTAGTGAGCTTGAAGACAGGCTATTTGAAAATACACAGTCAGAGGAGACAAAAGAAAACAGGTGAAAAAACAATGAAGCAGGCCTACCAGGTATAGAAAATAGCCTCAAAAGGGCAAATCTAAGAGTTACTAGCCTTAAAGAGGTGATAGAGAACAAGATAGGGTAGAAAGTTTATTCAAAGGTTAGTAACAGAGAAATTCCCAAACCTAAAGAAAAAGGTCAGTATCCAAGTACAAGGTTGTAGAACACCAAACAGATTTAACCCAAAGAAGATTACCTCAAGACATTTAATAATCAAACTCCCAAAGGTCAAGGATAAAGTATCCTAAAAGCAGGAAGAGAAAAGGGACAAATAACAAACAATGGTGCTCCAATACATCTGGCAGCAGGCTATTCAGTGGAAACCTTAAAGGCTAGGAGAGAGTGGCATGACATATTTAAAGTGCTGAAGGAAAAAAATACCTTTTACCTAGAATAGTATATCCGGTGAAAATATCCTTCAAACATGAAGTAGAAATAAAGACTTTCCCAGACAAAGAAAAGAGGAGAGCTTTCATTAATACCAGACCTGTTCTACAAGAAATGCTAAAGTCAAGTTTTGAATTTGAAAGAAAAAGATGTTAATGAGCAAGAATAAATCATCTGAAGGTACAAAACTCACTGGTATTAGTAAGCACACAGAAAAACACAGAATAGGATAACACTGTAATTGAGGCGTGTAAACTACTCTTGTCTTAAGTAGAAAGACTGAATGATAAGCCAATCAAATATAATAACTACCACAACTATTTGAGGCATAGACAGTACAATAAAACATAAAGAAGCCAGGTGTGGTGGCTCATCCCTGTAATCCCAGCACTCTGAGAGGCCAAGGTGGGTAGATTGTTTGAGCCCAGGAGTTCAAGAACACCCTGAGCAACAGAAATCCTGTCTCTTTAAGAAATACAATAATAATAAATTAACCAGGTGTGATATTGTGTGCCTAGAGTCCCAGCTACTTGGGAGGCTGAGGTGGGAGTGTCACTTGAGCCCTGGAGGGTGAGGCTGCAGTGAGCTGTGATCATGCTGCTGCTCTCCAGCCTGGATGACAAAGCAAGACCTTGTCATTAAATAAATAAATAAATACATCAGACATAAAGAGAAAGTTAAAAAGCAGGAGGATGAAGTTTAAGTGTAAAGTTTTATTAGTTTTCTTTTTGCACATTTTTGTGTGTTTATGTAATTGGCGATGTCATCTGTCGAAAATAATGGATTATAATATTTGCAAGCCTCTTGATAACCTCAAATCAAAAAACAAATACACAAAAAATAAAAAGGAAGAAATTAAATCATATCACCAGAGAAAATCACCTTCACTAAAAGAAAGACAGGAAGGAAGGAAAGAAGAAAGAGAAGACCACAAAGCAATCAGAAACAAATTTTTAAAATGGCAGGAGATAGTCTCTACTTATCAATAATAACATTGCATGTAAATGTACTAAACTTTCCAATAATATGACATAGAATAGCTGAATGGATGAAAAAAACAAGACCCAGTGATCTTTTGCCTATAAGAAACACACTTCACCTATAAAGACACATATACACTGAAAATAGACAGAAAAAGATATTCCATGACAATGGAACCAAAAAGAGCAAGAGTAGCTACACTTATATTAGACAAAATAGATTTCAAGAAAAATATTGTAAGAAGAGACAAAGAAGCCATTATATTAACGATATAGGAGTCAATTCAGTAAGAAAATAATAACAATTGTAAATATATATGCACCCAACACTGAAGCACCCAGATATATAAAGCAAATATTGGAGCTAAAGACAGTGACAGACCCCAATATAGTAATAGCCACACTACTTCAAAGCACTACTTTGAGCATTGGACTAACCTCTCAGACAGATAAATCAACAAAGAAACATCAGACTTAATCTTCACTGTACAAATGGACCTAATAAATATTTATAGAACATTTCATTCAATAGCTGCAGAATACACATTCTTCTCCTTAGTATATGGATCATTCTCAAGGAAAGACCTATGTTAGGTCACAAGTCTTAAAACATTCTAAAAAACTGGAATAATATTAAGCACTTTCTCTGACCACAATGGAATAAAACTAGGAATCAATAACGAGAAATTTTGGAAACTACAAATACACAGAAATTAAATATGCTCCTAAATGACTAGTGAGTGAATAAGGAAATTAAGAAGGAAATTGAAAAACCTTTTGCAACAAATAATAACGGAAACACAACATTCTAAAACCTATGGAATATAGTGAAAGTAGTAATAAGAGGAAAATTTATAGCTATAAGTGCTTACGTCAGAAAAGAAGAAAAACTTCAAGTAACAGAAATGAGTAGTATCAACATGAACAAAAAAGATGTCTACCCAGAGACCCCATCTGAAGGTCACCAACTCCAAAGACCAAAGGTAGGTAAATCCACAAAAATGAGGAGAAACTAGCGCAAAAAGATGGAAAATTCCAAAAACCAGAATGCTGCTTCTCCTACAAAGGATCACAACTCCTTGCCAGTAAGGAAACAAAACTGGACGGAGAATGAGTTTAACAAATTGACAGAAGTAGGCTTCAGAAGGTGGGTAATAACAAACTCCTCTGAGATAAAGGAGCATGTTCTAACCCAATGCAAGGAAGCTAAGAACCTTGAAAAAAGGTTACATGAATTGCTAACTAGAGTAACCAGTTTAGAGAAGAACATAAATGACCTGAGGGAGCTGAAAAAAAATCATGAGAACTTCATGAAGCATACACAAGTATCAATAGCTGATGGATCATGTGGAAGAAAAGATATCAGAGATTGAAAATCAACTCAATGAAATAAAGCAAGAAGACAACGTTAGAGAAAAAAGAGTGAAAAGAAATGAACAAAGCCTCCGAGAAATATGGGACTACATGTAAAGACCAAATCTACTTTTCATTGGTGTACCTGAAAGTGATGGGGAGAATGGACCAAGTTGGAAAACACTCTTCAGGATATTATCCAGGAGGACTTCCCCAACCTAGCAAGACAGGCCAACATTCAAATTCAGAAAATACGGAGACCACCACAAAGATACTCCTTGAGAAGAGCAACCCAAAGACACATAATAATCAGATTCACCAGGGGTGAAATGAAAGAAAAAATGTTAAGGGCAGCCAGAGAGAAAGGTCAGGTTACCCACAAAGGGAAGCCCATCAGAGTAACAGCAGATCTCTTGGCAGAAACCCTACAAGCCAGAAGACAGTGGGGGCCAATATTCCACATTCTTAAAGAATTTTCAACCCAGAATTTCATATCCAGCCAAACTGAGCTTCATAAGTGAAGGAGAAATAAAATCCTTTACAGACAAGCAAATGCTGAGAGATTTTATCACCACCAGGCCTGCCTTATAAGAGCTCCTAAGGGAAGCACTAAACATGGAAAGGAACAACTGGAACCAGCCACTGCAAAAACATACCAAATTGTTCCATGGATGCTATGAGGCAAACGCATCAACTAATGGGCAAAATAACCAGCTAGCATCATAATGGCAGGATCGAATTTGCACATAACAATATTAACCTTAAATGTAAATGGGCTAAATGCCCCAATTAAAAGACACAGACTGGCAAATTGGATAAAGAGTCAAGATCCATCAGTGTGCTGTATTCATGAGACCCATTTCATGTGCAAAGACATACATAGGCTCAAAATAAAGGGATGGAGGAATATTTACCAAGCAAATGGAAAGCAAAAAAAAAAGCAGGGTTTGCAATCCTAGACTTTAAACCAACAAAGATCAAAAGAGGCAAAGAAGGGCATTGCATAATGATAAAAGGATCAATGCAACAAGAAGAGCTAACTATCCTAAATGTATATGCACCCAATACAGGAGTACCCAGATTCATAAAACAAGTTCTTAGAGATCTACAAAGAGATTTAGACTCCCACACAATAATAGTGGGAGACTTTAACACCCCACTGTCAATATTAGACAGATCAGTGAGACAGAAAATTAACAAGGATATGCAGGACTTGAACTTAGCTCTGGACCAAGTGGACCTAATAGACATCTACAGAACTCTCCACCCCAAATCAACAGAACATACATTCTTCTTACCACCACATTGCACTTATTCTAAAATTGACCACATAATTGGAAGTAAAACACTCCTCAGCAAGTGCAAGAGAACGGAAATCATAACAGTCTCTCAGACCACAGTGCAATCAAACCACAACTCAGGATTAAGAAACTCACTCTAAAGCACACAACTACATGGAAACTGAACAACTTGCTCCTGAATGACTACTGGGTATATAACAAAATTAAGGCAGAAATAAAGATGTTCTTCGAAACCAATGAGAACAAAGACACAATGTACCAGAATCTCTGGGACACATTTAAAGCCGTATGTAGAGGGAAATTTATAGCTCTAAATGCCCACAAGTGAAAGCAGGAAAGATCTAAAATCAACACCCTAACATCACAATTAGAAGAACTAGAGAAGCAAGAGAAAATAAATTCAAAAGCTAGCAGAAGACAAGAAATAACTAAGATCAGATCAGAAATTAAGGAGATAGAGACATAAAAAACCCTTAAAATAAATCAATGAATCCAGAAGCTGGTTTTTTTGAAAAGATCAACAAAATAGATAGACCACTAGCTAGACTAATAAAGATGAAAAGAGAGAAGAATCAAATAGATGCAATAAAAGATGATAAAGGGGATATCACCACCGGTCCCACACAAACAGAAACTACCATCAGAGAATACTATAAACACCCCTACACAAATAAACTAGAAAACTTAGAAGAAATGGATAAATTCCTGGACACATACACCCTCCTAAAACTAAACCAGGAAGAAATCAAATCCCTGAATAGACCAATAACAAGTTCTTAAATTAATGCAATAATTAATAGCCTACCAACCAAAAAAAGTCCAGGACCACACAGATTCACAGCTGAATTCTACCAGAGGTACAAAAAGGAGCTGGCATCATTCCTTCTGAAACTATTCCAAACAATAGAAAAAGAAGGAATCCTCCCTAACTCATTTTATGAGGCCAGTATCATCCTGATACCAAAACCTGGCAGAGACACAACAAAAAAAGCCAATATCCCTGATGAACATCAATGCGAAAATCCTCAATGAAATACTCGCAATCCAAATCCAGCAGCACATCAAAAAGCTTACCCAACATGATCAAGTTGGCTTCATCCCTGGGATGCAAGGCTGGTTCAACATATGCAAATCAATAAACGTAAACCATCACGTAAACAGAACCAATGACAAAAACCACATGATTATCTCAATAGATGCAGAAAAGGCCTTCGATAAAATTCAACAGCCCTTCATGCTAAAAACTCTCAATAAACTAGGCACTGATAAAATGTATCTCAAAATAATAAGAGCTATTTATGACAAACCCACAGCCAATGTACTGAATGGGCAAAAACTGGAAGCATTCCCTTTGAAAACTGGCACAAGACAAGGATGCCCTCTCTCACCACTCCTATTCAACATAGTATTGGAAGTTCTGGCCAGGGCAATCAGGTGAGAGAAAGAAATGAAGGGTATTCAATTAGGAAAAGAGGAAGTCAAATTGTCTCTGTTTGCAGATGACATGATTGTATATTAAGAAAACCCCATCGTCTCAGCCCAAAAATTCCTTAAGCTGATAAGCAACCTCAGCAAAGTCTCTGGATACAAAATAAACGTGCAAAAATCACAAGCATTCCTATACACCATATAACAGAGAGCCAAATCATGAGTGAACTCTCACTCACGATTGCCAAAAAGAGAATAAAATACGTAGGAATGCAACTAACGAGGGATGTGAAGGACCTCTTCAAGGACAACTACAAACCACTGCTCAAGGAAATAAGAGAGGACACAAACAAATGCAGACATTCCATGCTCATGAATAGGAAGAGTCAATATCATGAAAATGGCCATACTGCCCAAAGTAATTTATAGATTCAATACTATTCCCATCAAGCTACCAGTGACTTTCTTCACAGAATTGGAAAAAACTACTTTAAATTTCATATGGAACCAAAAAGGAGCCCACATAGCCAAGACAATCCTAAGCCAAAAGAACAAAGCTGGAGGCATCATGCTACCTGACTTCAACCTATACTACAAGGCTACAGTAACAAAAACAGCATGGTAGTGGTAGAAAAACAAATACATAGACCAATGGAACAGAACACAGGCTCAGAAATAACACCACACATCTACAACCATTTGATCTTTGACAAACCTGACAAAAACAAGCAATGGGGAAAGGATTCCCTATTTAATAAATGGTGTTGGGAAAACTGGGTAGCCGTATGCGGAAAGCCTAAACTGGATCTCTTCCTTAGACCTTATACAAAAATTAACTCAAGATGGATTAAAGACTTAAATGTAAGACCTAAAACCATAAAACCCTAGAAGAAAACCTAGCCAATACCATTCAGGACATAGGCATTGGCAAAGATTTCATGACTAAAACACCAAAAGCAACAGCAACAAAATCCAAAATAGACAAATGGGATCTAATTAAACTAAAGAGCTTCTGCACAGCCAAAGAAACTATCATCAGAGTGAACAGGCAACCTACAGAACGAGAGAAAAATTTTGAAATCTATCCACCTGACAAGGGCTAATGTCCAGAATCTACAAAGAACTTAAACAAACTTACAAGAAAAAAACCACCCCATCAAAAAGTGGGTGAAGGATATGAACAGACACTTCTTAAAAGAAGACACTTACGCAGCCAACAAACATATGAAAAAATGCTCATCATCACTGGTCATTAGAGAAATGCAAATCAAAACCACAATGAGATACCATCTCACACCAGTTAGAATGACAATCATTAAAAAGTCAGGAAACGACAGATACTGAAGAGGATGTGGAGAAATGGGAATGCTTTTACACTGGTGGTGGGAGTATAAATTAGTTCAACCATTGTGGAAGACAGTGTGGCAATTCCTCAAGGATCTAGAACTAGAAATACCATTTGACCCAGTGATCCCATTACTGGGTATATACCCAAAGGATTATAAATAATTCTACTATAAAGACACATGCACATGTATTTTTATTGTGGCACTGTTCACAATAGCAAAGACTTGGAACCAATCCAAATGTCCATCAATGATAGACTGGATAAAGAAAATGTGGCACATATACACCAGGGAATACTATGCAGTCATAAAAAAGGATGAGTTCATGTCCTTTGCAGGGACATGGATAATGCTGGAAACCATCATTCTCAGCAAACTAACACAAGAACAGAAAACCAAACACCACATGTTCTCATTCACAAGTGGGAGTTGAACAATGAGAACACATGGACACAGGGAGGGGAACATCACACACCAGAGCCTGTCATGGGGTTGGGGGGCCAGGGGAGGGATAGCATTAGGAGAAATACCTAATGTAGATGACAGGTTGATGGGTGCAGCAAACCACCATGGTACTTGTATACCTATGTAACAAACCTGCACGTTCTGCACATGCACCCCAGAACTTAAAGTATAATAAAAATAAATAATATAATGATGCATCTTAAAAACTAGATAAGCAAGAACAACTGAACCCAAAATTAGTAGAAGAAATAATAAAGATCAGGGCAGAAATAAATAAATTTGAACTTAATACAAAAAAACCAATTAAACAAAAATTTAGTTTCTTGAAAAGATAAACAAAACTGTGACTAACAAAGAAAAAAAAGAAGAGGACCCAAGTAAATAAAATTAGAGATGAAAAAGGAGACATTACAACTGATACTACCCAAATTCAAAGGATCATTAGTGGATACTGTGAGCAACTATATGACAATAAATTGGAAAGTCTAGTAGAAATGGATAAATTCCTAGACCCATACATCCTACTAAGATTGAACCATGAAGAAATCAAAACCCCAACAGACCAATGACAAGTAATTACATCAAAGCTGTTATGTTTCCCAGTAAAGAAAAACCCAAGACTTGATGGCTTCACTGCTGAATTCTACCAAACATTTATAGAACTACTACCGACTCTACTCAAACTCTTCCAACAAATATAGGAGAAGAGAATACTTCTAAACTAATTCTATGAGGCCAATATTACCCTGATACCAAACCCATACCAAGTCACATCAAAAAAACAAAACAAAATAAAAAATACAGGCCAATGTATCGGATGAATGCTAATTTAACAATCCTCAACAAAATAATAGCAAATAGAATTTAAGAATACATTAAAAAGATTGTTCATCCTGACCAAGTGGGATTTATCCCGGGGAAGCAAAGATGGTTCAACATATGCAAATCAATGTGATATATTATATTAACAGAACGAAGGACAAAAACTATATGATCATTTCAAATGATACTGAAAAAGCATTTGATAAAATTCAACATCCCTTTATATAAAAGCCCTCAGAAAACATCATAAAAGCCATATATGACAGACCCACAGCTCATCTCATACTGAATGGGGTAAACCTGAAAGCCTTTCCCCTTAGATCTGGAGATTTAAGGATATCTGCTTTTGCCACTATTATTCAACATAGTACTGGAAGTTCTAGCTAGAGCAATCCGACAAGAGAAAGAAATAAAGGACATCCAAATTGGAAAGAAAGAAGTCAAATTATCCTTGTTTGCAGATGATATGATCTTATATTTGTATAAACCTAATGACTCCACCAAAAACTATTAGAACTGGTAAACAAATTTAGTAAAGTTACAGGATACTAAATCGACACTAAAAAAATAAAATCAGTAGCGTTACTAAATGCCAGTAGTGAACAATCTGAAAAAATTCAAAAAAGTAATCTCATTTACAATATCCACATATAAAATTAAATACCTAGGATTAACTTAACCGAAGAAGTGAAAGATTTCTATATGGCAACTATGAAACACTGAGGAAAGAAGTTGAAGACACAAAAAAAGAAAAGTTACTCCACGCTCAAGGATTGGGAGAATCAATATTGTTAAAATGTGCATATTATGCAAAGCAATCAATAGATTCAATGCAATCCAAATCAAAATACAAAAGACATTCTTTAAATAGAAAAAAAATCCTAAAATTTCTATGAAACCACAGAAGGCCCAGAATAGCCAAACTTACCCTAAGCAAAAGTAAAAGAATCACATCACCTGATTTCAGTTACACTATAAAGCCATAGTAACAAAATCAGCATGGTATTGGCATGTAAACACATACATAGACCAATAGAACAGAACGGATAACCCAGAAATAAATCCACACACCTACTGTGAACTCGTTTTTGACAAAGGTGCCAAGAACATATACTGGGGAAAAGACAATCCGTTCAATAAATGGTGCTGGGAAAACTGGATATCCATATGCAGAAAAACGAAACTTGACCCCTATCTCTTACCTTGAAAATCAAATAAGAATGGATTAAATACTTAAGTAAGGTCTCAATCTATGAAAGTACTGTAAGAAAAACATTACAGAAACTCTAGGGCACTGGACCAGGGAAAAATTTCTTGAGTAATACCCAAAAAGTACAAGCAAACAAACCGAAAATGGGCAAATGGAATCACATCGAGTTAAAAAGCTTCTGCACAGCAAAGGACACAGTCAACAAAGTGAAGAGATAACCCACAGAATGGGGAAAAAATTGCAATCTACCCATCTGACAAGGGATGAATAACCAGAATATATAAAGAGCTCAAACACTGTAGAAAAAAATCTAATAAGTTAATTTAAAAATGGGCAAAAGCTTTGAATAGAAATTTTTCAAAAGAAGACATTAGGGTGGTAAACAGGCATATGAAAAAGTGCTCAACATCACTGATCAGAGAAATGCAAATCAAAACTACAGTGAGATATCTGCTCAGCCCAGTTAATATGGCTTATATTCAAAAGACAGACAATAACAAATGCTGGTGAGGATGTGGAGAAAAGGGAACACTCATACACTGTTGGTAGGAATGTAAATTAGTACAACCACTATGGAGAAGAGTTTGGAGGTTCCTCAAAAAACTAAAAATACATCTACCATATGATCCCGCAATCCCACTGTTGGGTATATGGCCAGAAGAATCTGCACTCCCAAATTTGTTGCAGTACTGTTCACAATAGCCAAGATTTGGAAGCAATCTAAGTATCTATCACCAGAGAAATGGATAAAGAAAACATGGTATATTACACAATGGAAGACTATTCAGCCATTTAAAAAAGGAGGAGATCCTATCATTTTCAACAACATAGATGAAATTGGAAATCATTATGTTAAGTGAAATAAGCTTGGCACAATCGCATGTCCTCACTTATTTGTGGGATCTAAAAATCAAAACAATTGAACTCATGGACATAGAGGATGGAAGGATGGTTTCCAGAAGCTGGGAAGGATAGTGGAGGTGTGACAGGGAAGGTGGGGATGGTTAATGGGTACAGAAAAAAGTAGTTAGAATGAATAAGATCTAGTATTTGATAGCACAATAGGGTGACAACAGTCAATCGTAATTTAATTATGCATTTAAACATAACTAAAAGAGCATAACTTGTTTGTAACACAAAGGATAAATGCTCAAGGGGGTGCATATCCAATTTTTATTATGTAATTATACAATGCATGCCTGTACCAAAATATCTCATATAGCCCATAAACATACCTGTTACATACCCACACAAATTTTAAAAATAATTTTAAAAAAGAAAATTTATATATTTTGTGATATCTAATTCAAATGTCTTTAGAGTTATACTGAAAAATACATATAGCTTTCTATCTCAGAGCCAAAGTAATAAAAAATCAAATTAAGTTGAAGAGGTGAATTGGAGACTATTTTGAGTAGGTAATAAAGCAGATAATATGTATAACCTACACTCCTGAACAAGGGCTCTTTATTTAAAAGTTTTGAAGCTCATGATACAGTGACATTAAAAAAGGGCTTGGTATGACAGAAAAGTCAGGGAGAGGGACCTTCTGATATCTACAGTCTACGCTATCTGTAGCCCAAATCTACTGTCATCCAAAACTTCAAGGAGCTAGATGTGACTATTTTCCCTGGCATAAACATATTTAACTCTGGGAAGATTTGAGGTTATGCATAGAAAGTTTAAGTTTTATATTTAACTTGGTATTTTATGTATTTATAATTTTAAGTACAATTAGGCTTATCAGAGCATATAGTTCGAATTTAAAATGTAAAATAGAATAACTGGATTCAAATTTATGATCTTAAAGTAAAATCTAAGTTTATAAACAATTTTGAAACACCTAAGATAACTTCCACTCAACATATTCCTGACTTTGATATTAGCTTGTGAGAGTTAACTTCAGGTCTAGGAAAATTTTGGTTGAACTCAGATAACTAATTTAGGAAGAAAATTAAAAATGATAGATGTATAAATGTAAATGCTTAAAATATTTGAAGGTGTTTACTTAGCTAAGCTTTTAACAGACCAAACATTTTCTAATGACAACTTAAAAACATTTCTAACATTGGCTAGATTTAAACATTGAATAATAAGATTTTTAGGTTTAAGGAATACATGGAGTTTTAATTCATTATTTTAATAATTTGAATATCAATTTTTAACTCCAAATGAATCTCAGAAGAAATCTTTCCTGGATTTAAAAGCCAATGTTAAAAGGCTATTCTACCAAAAACTATTCGCAGTTAAACCTTGAATCTACATGATATTTATCCCTCTGTATTGTGTAAGATAGAGATCCAAGTTCATTTTTCGTGTATGAATAAACAATTGTCTCAAAACTATTAAGTAGTAGTCTATCCTTTCTTCAATGTCTGCTTCCCCATTTGGCCAGTGTTGAAACAATGCCTGGCTGACATAATTACTTCAGTGTCATATAAAGTTTATATATACGATGCAGCAAATTCTACACTTTTAAGTTTTGTCATTTTGCTATTCCTCATCAAATTTAGAATCAACTTGTTAGGCTCTAAGGAAAATCCTATTGTAATTGCATTGAATTATAAAATATGGGGTAAGATTGACATCTCTACAACATTAATAGCACATTATATGTCTTTATTTAGGTCTTCTTAAATGCCTCTCAGAATGTTTCTATAATTTTCTTCATTAAAGACGGAAACTTGTTTGTTAGATTTGGTCCCAGGGGCTATTTTGTTATTGTTGTTGGTGCTGCTATAATAGTTTATGGAAATTAGTTTCTAACTATCTGATATGTGTAAATCAAAACAAATGATTTTTTTTTACTGATTTCTTTTATTATTTCAGTTCTTTTATTTTTTTAATTTTATTATTATGATACTTTAAGTTTTAGGGTACATGTGCACAATGTGCAGGTTAGTTACATATGTATACATGTGCCATGTTGGTGTGCTGCACCCATTAACTCGTCATTTAGCATTAGGTATATCTCCAAATGCTATCCCTCCCCCCTCCCCCCAACCCCACAACAGTCCCCAGAGTGTGATGTTCCCCTTCCTGTGTCCATGTGTTCTCATTGTTCAATTCCCACCTATGAATGAGAACATGCGGTGTTTGGTTTTTTGTCCTTGCAATAGTTTGCTGAGAATGATGGTTTCCAGTTTCATCCATGTCCCTACAAAGGACATGAACTCATCCTTTTTTATGGCTGCATAGTATTCCATGGTGTATATGTGCCACATTTTCTTAATCCAGTCTATCACATAAGGACATTTGGGCTGGTTCCAAGTCTTTGCTATTGTGAATAGTGCCTCAATAAACATACGTGTGCATGTGTCTTTATAGCAGCATGATTTATAATCCTGTGGGTATATACCCAGTAATGGGATGGCTGGGTCAAATGGTATTTCTAGTTCTAGATCCCTGAGGAATCGCCACACTGACTTCCACAATGGTTGAACTAGTTTACAGTCCCACCAACAGTGTAAAAGCGTTCCTATTTCTCCACATCCTCTCCAGCACCTGTTGTTTCCTGACTTTTTAATGATTGCCATTCTAACTGGTGTGAGATGGTATCTCATTGTGGTTTTGATTTGCATTTCTTTGATGGCCAGTGATGATGAGCATTTTTTCATGTGTTTTTTTGGCTGCATAAATGTCTTCTTTTGAGACGTGTCTGTTCATGTCCTTCGCCCACTTTTTGATGGGGTTGTTTTTTTCTTGTAAATTTGTTTGAGTTCATTGTAGATTCTGGATATTAGCCGTTTATCAGATTTTCATATATTAATATTATGTTTGAAAATTTTGCAACTCTTCTTAAAAGTTTTTATTTTAAAATAAACTTTATTAAGGAATAATTTATACATGATAAAAGGCATCTATTTCAGTATAGAGTTCTATGAGTTTGGAAAAATGTATATAGTCTTGTTACCACCATCATAATCAAGATATAGAACATTTCTATCATCCCAAACAATTTTTCACCTCTTTATCAGTCAGCATCACCCCACTCTTTGGCCCAGAAAACCACAAATCTGCTTTCTGTAATTAAAGATTATGCTGTGTGTTCTAGAATTTCTCAAACATGAAATCATCCATGTTGTTCCAATAATATCGTTAACCTTTGTGTCCCCGCCAAATCTCAGCTTGAATTGTAAGCCCCATTATCCCCATAAGTACTACATAGACTGGAGAGCCTCAGCAGGGTAAGCGCCAAATCCTAAAGATGACCTGTTCTCAAGAGGCTGTTGTATGGGGAGCCAAAGAAAGAGTGAGAAGCCACCAGTGGAGTAGGCAGAAGACTAATAAAGCTTGTTTCTCAAAGGTGTCTGCAGGTTCAGATGTACTTGAGATGAGATGCTTGCTGGATTCCTGGGCTCCAGCCCAGACCTTAAGAATCAACCTTTGGAAGTGAGACCTGAGAATCTAATTTTTTGAAAAAGTTGTCAGGTTATTCTTATGACTATCCCTACAGTACAGGTTTGAGTATCCCTTATCTGAAATGCTTGGAACCAGAAGTGTTTCAGATTTCAGATTTTGGAATATTTGCATATATATGCAATTATGTATATATAATATGTGGTTATATATATTAATATATATTAAAATATATTTATATATTATATGAAATATATAAAAATATATGTAAAATGAGATATCTTGGGGACAGGACCCAAGTCGAAACACAAAATTCATTAATGTTTGATATACACTTTATACACATAGTCTGAAGGTCATTTTATACAATTTTAAACAATTTTTTTATGTAAAAAAAGTTTTAACTGTGTTTTGACTTCGACCCTTCACATGAGGTCAGGTGTGGAATGTTCCACTTTTGGTATCATATCCGCACTTAAAAATGTTCAGATCTTGGGGATTAAAGACTTAAATGTAAAACCTGAAACTATGAAACTACGAGATGAAAACATCAGGGAAATGCTTCAGAACATTGGTCTGGGCAAAGATTTTATAGGCAAAAATCAGAAGCAACAAAAGCAAAAACAAATAGGGTTACATCAAGCTAAAAATCTTCTGCACAGGAAGGAAACAATCAGAGTGAAAAGACAACTTACAGAATGAGAGTAATATTTGCAAACTATCCATCTGACAATGGATTACTAACCGGGATATATAAGGGACTCAAACGACTCAATAGCAAAATAACAATCTGACTTTTAAAATGGGCAAATGATCTGAATAGATGTTTCTCAAAGAAGACATACAGAGGGCCAACAGGTATATGAAAAAAACTTCAACATAATTAACTATCAGAGAAATGCACATCAAGACCACAGTGATATATCATCTCACCTCAGTTAATATGGCTATTATCAAATAGACAAAAAATAACAAATGCTGGTGAGAATGTGGAGCAAATGGAACTCTCATACGCTGTTGGTGGGAATGCAAATTAGCATAGCTATCATGGAAAACATTATGGAGATTCCTTAAAAAACTAAACATAGAGCTACCATATGATCCAGCAATTCCCACTGCTGGGTATATAGCCAAAAAAAGAAAAAAGAAAGAAAAGAAAAGGTATCAGTATGTCAAAGAGATGTCTGCATTCCCATGTTCATTGCAGAACTATTCTCAATAGCCAAGGTATGAAATAAACCTAAGTGTACATCAACAAGTGAATGAATAAAGAAAATGTGCCATATATACACAATGGAATACTATTCAGCCATTAAAAAACCAAAATCCTGTTATTTGCAGTAACATGGATGAGCCTGGAAGACATTATGTTAACTGAAATAAACCAGGCACAGAGAGACAAATATTGCATGTTCTCACTCATGTGTGGGAACTAAAACAGTTGACCTTATAGAGGTAGAGAGTAGAATGCTAGTTACCATTCTGGTATGTACCAGAGGCTGGGGAGGGTAAAGGGGATGGGAGGATGAAGGAAGGTTAGTTAATGGGTACAAAAATACAGTTAGATGGAAGGAAAAAGTTCTAGTAGCACAGTAGGTGACTGTAGTTAACCATAATTTATTGTATATTTCAAAATAGCTCAAAGAAAAGATTTGGAATCTTGCAACCCAAAGAAATGATAAATGTTTGAGTTTCTGGATATCCCAATTGCCCTGATTTGATGATTATATATTATATGCATGTATTGAAATATCACATGTATCCCATAAATATGTACAATTATTATGTATGAATTAAAAAATTCAAATTTTGGAGCATTTCAGATTTTTAATTTTCAAGTTAGAGTTGCTCAACCCATAGAGGGAAATGATGCCGAAACCAAGGCAGAAAATGTTTTCAATGGAGAAGTGGGTAATATTTTTATTTCTATAGAAAGTTCAAAGTCCACAGCATAGTCAAATAACATCTGTAGTGAAAACTGACCACTGGACTTTGCAACTAGATTATGTGTAGTCCCTAGTGAGAACAAACATTATAAAGCAGTGGAGGGCAATGCAGGTAAACCAGAGATTTCTTTCTAGATTGCAACCTCCCTTTTTCTGCAAAAAGAGAAATTGATGGTAAAAATTTGAGACTTTACAAATGTAGGTCTTTCTGCCAATTTTCAATATGATCCATGATTTTTATTTCTATAGAACTATGTGTCCTTCTCTCCCCTAAGAAATCAGTAATGCCAAACCTGGTTCTTCTAACCATTTATATATCTTAAGGTACCCTTTAAAAAAAATTACTTTCGCAAACATGTCTTTTTTTTTCTTTCTAGTTCAAATATAAGGATGTTTTTTCTCTTGATGATTAAATGTCACTAGAATGTATTCTGATGCTGAAGTCTGCTTATTATTTTTCTTCTGGAAGCTAAGTATCAATTTTTTGTTTTTAGCCTTTAAGTTCTGGAAAGTTTTCTTCAATTACACTCTTGATAAATTTCTACCTTTTGTTTCATACCCTCCTTTTGGAAATCTGATTAATCTTGGGTTGCTTCTTCATGTTCTGTCTTCTATAATTTTGCTATCCTCTCTTGAATTGTCATTTTTTATTATTTTCTTTTGCAGCTTGTATATGTATAGAGTCTGTTTTCTGTTTCATTAATCTGTTTTTGAAGCATTAATTCTACTACTCAAGATTCCAATGAGTATTTGTCACAGAATTTGTCCTGATCTCGTTTCACAATTGCTGCTATTGTCTATCTCCCTGAAAATAGATTACAGCTATTTCCAGAAGATTTGATGTTTCATTCTTCCTTTCTATGAGGAAAACCAAGCTCATGGATTAGAACTGGTGAAATAGAATTGCTCTTCCCTTTTCTGTTTCTTTTGCATTGACAGTTCCTTATGGAAGTCAGATTGTTTTCCTTTCTTGCCCACACTTTCTTTAGCTTACTTTGATAATTCTTAGTGATGTGGTAGGGCCATTGCCAATAAATACTCGAAATCTCACAGTCCTACCAGTTGCTCTGGTTGGCCATATGAAAAACTGCTTTAAAATCTCATTCTAGTAATTTGCTTTCAGTGGAAAACTCTACACACCTGAGGTTGGGCTTACTTGTAAGCACTGTAGAAGATCAATGACTGTGAATGACAGCAGAGAGCCTTGTTCACTTCCAACCACTTGATCTACTCAACTGTCAATCAAGTGCTTCCTTGCAGACTTCAAATTACAGGCTACTTTGAGGCCTCCTTTGTTTTTCACTGTGATCATCCATTTTAAGAAATTTGAAGGCATTAAAAGAAAACATTGGCTGCTTCGTTAAATCTCCTTGAGATCAGCCTTGAAGATGGACAGTAATGACGCAGCTGTGAGTTATATGGTTGTGATCACTCCTGTTCCATCTGTTGCCAGGACTGATTTGAGGAATCTGACCATCTAAGCAGGTTATTCTTTCTCTTATTTCTCTTGTCTGGCTCCATGTGTTCCATAGACTCAGCATAATTACTTGAGGGATGACTTAAATTATTAAGGAGAAAAATATAATACTGATTTTGTAAAAGGGAGTTTGGGTTAGATTATTTTAATAATATCCCTTAACATATTTGCTTCTTGGTGTCCAAGCCCTTTTGCAACATGACTGATGCCCCTTCCAACAGGAGGTGAAATCTATTTTCTCAGACCTTGAATCTGGCCTGGCCTCATGACTTGTTTTGACCAATAGAATGCAACAGAAGCAATGTCATGCGTCCTCAAGGCTAAGCCTTCAGAGAACTTGCCTTGACTTTCACTCTTTTAGGTCACCGCTGGCTTCTAAACAAACCTGGCTAGTTGCTTTTCTCTGCAGAGAGGAAAAGAAATCACAGGGAGAGAAAGACCCGGTAGAGAGAGTATCAGCTGTTTCAGTGCAACTACGGCCATGTGTCACTTAACGACAATACATTCTGAGATGGGACCTGGCCGGGGCTCTGGTGGAGGCATGAGGAGGGAGAATATCAGGAAGAATAGCTAATGGATGCTGGGCTTAATACCAAGGTGATGGGCTGACCTGTGCAGCAAACCACCGTGGCACACATTTACCTATGTAACAAAACTGCACATCCCTCACATGTACCCCAGAACTTAGAATAAAAGTTGAAGGAAAAAAAATACATTCTGAGAAAGGTGTCATTAGTTAATTTCATCATTGTGCAAACCTAGATGATACAGCCTACCATACACCTAGGCTGTATGGTAGCCCATTATCCTAGGCCATAAACATGTATATATGTTACTGTACTGAATACCATAAGCAATTGGAACACAGTGATAAGTATTCGTAAGTCTAACCATATCTAAACATAGATAAGGTGCCATAAAATACAATATAATAATCTTATGGGACAACCACTGTATAAATGGTTCATACTCGACCAAAACATTGTTATACAGCACATGTCTTAGTTGGATCCAGTTTATCAGCTGAACATAACCTCATGGCTGGACCACCCAGCCAACCAGCAGAATCCTGAGATGTAATTGTTGTTTTAGGGATGGTTTCTGACAAAAACACAGGAAACTAGAAATGGATTTAGCCTGGAGTTTCCCAGAAAGCAGAGCCTGAGGCAAAAGCTTATTCATACCTACTTTTCCAGGGAAAGCAGGGAAGGAGAGAAAGAGACAATACAGGGGTGTGTTACTAAGAAAGTGATCGATTGGTTACCTCATTTTGGGAAAGCATCTTCTAAGAGGCCATTTGAATTGCTACATCACAGGATAGTCCACCCAGAGGAGAGGCAAAGGAGAAGGGTTTATCTGCTGGCTCCTGTCTTCCATTAATGAATTAATTTAAAATTTATACCTTATAAAACGTAAACTGCTTCATTCTCCTAGTTTCCCATTTGCAAGAACTGAGCGGGTCCTGGAGAGTTTCACCCTTGGGTCCAACAGAGATATCTCAATGTGAGGGGAATTGCTCACTGCAAACTGCTATACAGTTGTGCCATTTAAAATGAGTTGCAGCCTATTCAGAGTTGGTTCCTGCAGCAGAATCTGAGAGTGTGGGACAAGCAGCCAGAGCCCCAGGGTCAAGTAAGGCCAAATAGATCAGAGGTGGTGCATGTGTCTGACATAGGACGCAACAGGTATTTGGTAGATTAATGCTGATTGAACCCATAATCAATCAGCAGTTCCTACCTGTATTAGTTTGTTCTCACATTGCTATAAAGAAATACCTAAGACTGGGTAATTTATACAGAAAAGAGGTTCAATTGGCTCATGGTTCCGCAGGTTATACAGGAAGCATGGAGGCATCTACTCAGCTTCTGGGGAGGCCTCAGTGTGCTTTTACCCATGGCAGAAGGCAAAGCCAGAGCAGGCGTCTTACATGGCAGGAGCAGGACCAAGAAAAAGAGGGAGAAGGTGCTACACACTTTTACAACAACCAGATCTCATGATAACTCACTCACTATCACAAGAACAGCACTGAGGGAATGGTGTTGAATCATTCATGAGAACTCTGCCCCCATGATTCAATTACCTCCTATCAGGCTCCATCTCTAACAATGAGGATTACAATGTGACATGAGATTTAGGTGGGGACACAGATCCAAACCATATCACTACCTAATATAATCTAATATAAACCTATTGTATTATTCTCAACTTCTATAAAGACATACCTTAGACTGGGTAATTTATGAAGAAAAGAGTTTTAACCAGCTCATGTTTCTGCAGGCTGTACAGGCTTCTGCTTCTGGAGAGCCCTCAGGAAAGTTACAGTCATGGTGGAAGGTGAAGGGGAAGCAGCAACATCTTACATGGCCAGAGCAGGAGGAAGAGAGGGAGAGATGGGGAGAGGGAGAGAGAGACATAGAAAGGGAGAAACAGAGAAAGGGAGAGACAGAGAAAGGGAGAGGGAGAGAGAGACAGAGAAAGAGGGAGAGAGAGAAGGAGAGACAGAGCATGGAGGTACTACACACTTTCAATCAGAACTTGTGAGAACTCTATTATGAAAACAGCAAGGGGGAAGTCCATCCCCATGATTCAGTCACCTCCCACCAGGTCCCTTCTCCAATACTGAAGATTACAATTCAACATGAGATTTGGGTGGAGACACAGAGCCAAACCATATCACCTATCTGATATAAGACTGTAGAAGCCTATAACAAAACTACACACATGCATACCCTATACACAAAACTCTTAGATTACAATGATATGACTTTCATCAATCTGTATTTAGATAATTTTTAAAGATGTTTTTCTCCTTCAAAAAATATGAAGTTTCTATTTCATTGTAGAAGTGATGTCAGAAGACAAGATTACAACAAATGTAAAGATCAAATTGGCTTTTATTGTGGTTCTAGAATGAGGCAACACCTCATTCTATAAAATTGAATGTTCTGTTGAGTTGAGAAGAGGCTGGCTTTATAGGCAGGAAAAGGCTGAAAAAAGCAGAAACAAAACAAAAGGTGGATTGGTTATTTCAAAGTTACTTTTCTTACAAGGCTAAAATAGAACTTTCTTCTTATGCTGACGGATTAAGTAGAATTTTCTATTTTTGTTTTGTTTTTAAACCAGCTTGTTTCAAAGTTTGATATGCTCATTGTGCCCTTAGCACAAGACTTCTGGTTTGGTCTGGTCTGCTGGGGCCTGGCGCAGAAGGCTAATTCAAAACAATGGCCTTCCATGTACTTTATTTAATAGTAATATATGCCCATTGTAACAATTCAAACCAGAGATATGTCACATCTCTTGATATAATTAATATTAACAGTATGGTCAAATAACTTATGCTTTCCCAAGCTTTGTATACATGTAGATTGATAGATACATGCATAAACCCACATGCACATGTGGTTTTAAAAATTTTTAAACAGGCCGGGCATGGTGGCTCATGCCTGTAATTCCAGCACTTTGGGAGGCCGAGGCGAGCGGATCACAACGTCAGGAGATCGAGACCATCCTGGCAAGCACAGTGAAACCCTGTCTCTACTAAAAAAATACAAAAAAAATTAGCCAGGCGTGGTGGCAGGCGCCTGTAGTCCCAGCTACTCGGGAGGCTGAGGCAGGAGAATGGTGTGAACCCGGGAGGTGGAGCTTGCAGTGAGCCGAGATGGTGCCACTGCACTCCAGCTTGGGCGACAGAGCGAGACTCCGTCTCAAAAAAAAAATTTTTAAACAAAAATAGGGTTTGACTACTTATACAGTAACTTGCTTAATTCCATTAAAAAATGTATCAAGATGAAGCCACTTTGGAAATCAGTGTGACAGTGATATGACTCAGTTACTCTACTCCTAATATATACCCAAGAGAAATGAAAACAAATGTTCACATAAAAATTTGTACACAAATGTTCATGGCAGCATTATTCATAATTGCCAAAAAGTATTAACAACTTAATTTCCCATCAGCTATGAATGGATTTTTTTAAATGCGGAGTATTCATACAATGAAATATTATTTGTCAATATAAAGGAACCAAGTACTGAAACATGCTACACTGGTGAACCTTGAAGACATTATATGAACTAAAAGAAGCCAGTCACAAAAGACCACATATAATTCCATTTATATAACATGTCCAGAACTAGCAAACTCACATGTTATAGACTGGATGTTTGCATTCCCCAGAATTCAGATGTTGAAATCTAACCCCCAGTTTAAGGTGGGAATTTGGAGAGGTGATTAGGTCATGACGGCAGAGCCCTCATGAATGGGATTAGAGCCCCAGTAACAGAGGCCCCAGAGAGCTCCCTTGCCTCTTCTACAATGAGAGGATGCAAGGCAAAGACCATTATGAACCAGGAAGTGGACCCTCACCAGACACCAAATCTGCCAATATCTTGATCTCAGACTTCCAGTCCTAAAAAGCCATGAGAAATACATTTCTGCCGTTTATAAGCCACCAATCCAAGGTATTTTTTTTTTTATAGCAGAATGGACTAAGACACCATGAAAGACAGAAAGCAGACTCATGCTTGCCTGGGGCTTGGTGGTGTTGGGAGAGTGAGAAAATGAAGAGTTTCTGCTAATGAATACAGGGCTTTTTCTTGAGGTGATGAAAATATTCTGAGAGTAGTACACAGGTCTGCGAATATACTAAAAACCACTGAACTGTATATCTTAAAGGAATGGATTTTATGATATGTGAATTATATATCAATTAAGCTGTTAAAGATGTATCATGGACATTTCACAGCTCATTACATGCAAAACGAGTGCATTCTTTTACGTAGTTGCAAAACAATACTCTGTATTCTGCATCTGGTGCAATTTATTTTAGCATTTTTATGTTAATTGCATTCAATTTTGTTTTTCCAGTTTTTTGCTATTAACAATGCTCCAATAAAATACTACTGTAGGTAAATGTTTTTGCCTAAGTTAGATAAGTACAACTAAAATTGTTGAATTAAATTGTATGTACCTATTTAATTTTAATAGATGCTGCTAGATTGATTTACAAAATGAAAAGAGCAATTCACCCTGATACCAACAGTAAATGAGACAGTCCATTTTCTTATACCCTAACCAACACTGAATGTAATCAATCTTTTTAACTGTTGCAAATAGGCCAATAACAGTGAGTCTTTGTTGTTTTAATTTGCATTAAAAGAACTTTAGTAAGATTAGACATGTTTTAATATATTAGATATTTGCATTTTTTCTTTCATACATTTTCTTTTATAATATTTAGTCAGGTTTTACTAGATTTTCTTTGGTACCTTTACTAATATGAAGGGTTTTCTAGTGTAGTCATGCTATGAACCCTTTGCCTGCGATGTTTTCCAAATGCTTTTTCCCCAATCTATCTTTTGGTTTTGGCTTTGCTCAGTATCTTTTGCCATATGAAAAGTTTTATTTTTTATTTATTTATTTTTGAGACGGAGTTTTCGCTCTTGTTGCCCAGGCTGGAGTGCAATGGCATGATCTCAGCTCACTGCAACCTCTGCCTCCCAGGTTCAAGTGATTCTCCTGCCACAGCCTCCTGAGTAGCTGGGATTAGAGGCATGTGCCAACATGCCCGGCTAAAAAAGTTTTATTTTTTATGAGGTAAGGCTATCATTCTTAAAATGCCTTTTGTGTTACCTTTCTTACTTAAAAATTACTCTCCCTCTCCACCTCAAACCTTGCTAGGCTTTAAATGTGTCCCCGAAATTTTCATTTGCTGGAAAGATAATTATCAAATTCATATGTTGGTCAGAAGTGGGACCTTTGGGTGGTAATTAGGGTAAGATAAGGATGTCAGCGTAGAGTCCCTGTGAAGAGACTGGTGGCTTTATAAGAAGAGAGAGAAGTCTGAGTTGATATGCATGCTTTTGCCCTCTTGCCACTTGATACCTTCTGATATGTTCTGAAGCAGCAGGAAGGCCCTCACTGAAAGCTGAGCAGATGTCAGCACATTGCTCTTGGGCTTCGCAGTCTCAAGAACCATAAGCAAAATAAACTGATTTTCTTTATAAACTAACCAGTCTCTGCTATTCTGGTATAGCAAAAGAAAATGAACTAATACAACCCCCAAGGTTATATTAATAAAAAAAAAAGTATATGGTATTTTAGTTTCATTTTGAACAATCATATCTTTAAATCAATTTTTTAATAAGATGTAGAATAGATGTCATTTTGAAATTTTCCAGTGAAGAGACAATTGTGCCCAGAAAATCTATTGAATAGTCTATTCCTAAACTTTAACTGTGTCTTAATCCCATTCCTTCTTGCCTACTCAAGGAATTTTTTCTTGTAATTTTTTGTTTTGTCATTGGTCATTTTTTCTTCCCTAATGGATTATTTCCACTAGCTGATGAATATGCTATAATATCTCCCATATTAAAACAAAACGATCCACTTGGACTGCAAATCTTCCTCTATCATTTTGTTAGAGCAAAACTCCTAGAAATAATTGTCTGTTTTCATAGCCAACACTTCTTTACCCCATTCTCTCTAGAATCCACTCCAATTGGTTTCCTGCCCACCACTCCACTGAAACTCCTCTCATCAATGTCATTTACTTTACATTGCTGAGAGCCAACCTAGCCTCAACATGTATCTTGAACACTGAAAACCAAAACCATCCATCCCCCACAGCTTACTGTCTATGTTAACATGACTTTACTGTGCTATTGTCTTAATTAACATAGTTTTATCAGGTGACAGTTGCCCAGCAAATAACTTCATTAATTACAAGAATTTCCCCCAAAGACCCATCAACTCTTCAACAGTAAACATTAACCTGACTCTTCACACTTCTTACCTCAAAATCCTCATCTTGCTATTTCCACAAATCCTAAACTGTTATCTCATGATCCTTACTCACACCTAATCTGGCAGTTCCTGCATTGAAAGAACTGCCCTAAATCAAACTTCAAACTCTTAATAAAATTTGATACTGCTTTCCCTATTTTACCAGTCCCCCTCGTCCAATGCCTAAGATGTGGTGGTGGAAGACAGGAATATCGATCATCCTTGTCCCATGTAGTCCTAGGCTAATATGTATGTTTATGTCTTAGTTTTTAAACAAAAAAGTATAAAAAGTAAATAATTTTTTTAAAAAAGATAAAGGCTTATAGAGTAAGAATATAAAAACATTTTCAAATTCTTAATAAAATTTGATCCTGCTTTCCCTGTTTTACCAGTCCCCCTCTTCGAATGCATAAGATGTTGAGGTGGAAGACAGCAATATTGATAATCCTTGTCCCATGTAGTCCTAGGCTAACATGTATGGTTATGTCTTAGTTTTAAACAAAAGAGTAAAAAAATTTTTTTAAAAAGATAAAGGCTTATAGAATAAGAATATAAAAACATTTTTGTATAGTTGTACAATGTGTTTTAAGCTAAGTGTTATTACAAGAGCCAAAAAGTCAAAAACATTAAAAAGTAGAAAGTAGAAAATTACAGTAAGCTAATTATTGAAGAATTTCCAAAAATAAATTTAGTGTAGCTGAAACATTCAATGTTTATAAAGCTTATAGTAGTGTAATGTTCCAGGCCTTCACATTTACTCACCATTCTCACTGACTTACCCAGAGCAACTTCTAGGACTACAAACTTTATTCACATTAAGTGCTGCCCTATACAGATACAACATTTTTTTTCAATCTTTCATAGCATGTTTTTACTGTGTTTTTTCTACGTTTAGATATGTTTAGATATACAAATACTTATCATTGTGTTATAATCGCCTACAGTATTGAGTAGTCACAAACCATACAGGTTTGTAGCCTAGGAGCAATAGGCTATACCACATAGTCTAGGTGTGCAGTAGGCTATACCATTTAGGTTTGTGTAAGTACACTATGATGTTCACACAATAAAATCACCTAATGACACATTTCTCAGAACATATCCCCACAGATAAGCAACTTGTGACTGTCTTCGTATATTGTCTTTCTCATCTACTAAAATGAGCATTCCCTGAGGAAAGACTTAGCTTGTCTTGTTCTCTATTGTATTCTAGTACCTGGCACTTAGTGTGCACTCTACAAATATTTTTTGAATTGACTCATTAATTAGTCAATTTTTGGATTGACTAATTAGCTATTTAACTGAAATTTCATCTTTTTCATCCAATAAGTTACTTAGATCTGTTTTTAGACATTCTGATCTGTTCTACTGATCTATTTTTATCTATTTCTGGGTCATTTTTTTCATTACTGGAAGTTACAGGTTTTAATATTTTCAAAACTGTCAATTCTTCCATATGGCTTATCAACTCTAATCTTTATTATCATTTTGTATAGTTATATAAGATACACTTTTGAAATTAAATTTATATGTTAATTGGAGAGGCTTAATCATTTTTTTACTAAATCTTACTCAGGAACATGCCATGATACCTCATTCAGGTCTTTCCAGTTTTAGAGGTTTCATAATTTTTATTGGATATTTTGTAGTTCTTATCACTATTATGTATTCTTTTGATTTTTATTTTATTGCTAATATTAATAAAAACTCTAGGTTTTTATATGTTCTACTTACCTGTGTATCCAGCAGCCTTAGCAGAGTTTTTAAAAAACATTTCAAATAGCTTTGCTAAAAATAAAGTTCATTTTGGAATAATTTTAGATTTATAGAAAATATACCCCACACCCAGTTTCTCCTTTTGTGAATCGCACATATTTGTTGTAACTCAGAAACTAACACTGGTACATTACTATTAACCAAAGTACAGACTTTTTGTAGCATTCACTAGTTTTTCCACTTATGTCTTTTTCTGTTCCAGAACAGAATCCAAGAAAATACATTTAGTGTCCATGTTTTCTTAATCTTCTCTGGTCTATGACAGTTTCTCAATCTTTCATTGTTTTGAGGAGTCTATGATTAGATATTTTATAGAATATTCTTCAGTTTCTATTTGTCCAGTGTTTTCCCCATAAGGTTGTGGTTAGTGTTCTTTTTAGTGCCTTATATCAGGAAGTGCATGCCATTAACATGATTTATTACTGATGTTAACCTCAATCATCTGGCCAAGGTAGTGTTTGCGGGGCTTCTCCATTGTACAGTGACTTTTTTCTTTCTTTCTATACTCTATTACTCAGAAGGGGGTCACTAAGTTCAGCCCCCACTCAAAGTGGGGGAAGAGAATAAGCTCCAACTCTTAACAGAGAGAATATCTACGAGTCACTTTTGGAATTGTTCTATAAGGAATACTGCCCTCTTCTATTTGATTGTAGTTATTCAATTAATCATTTCCTTATATAAGTACTCATGGATATTTAAGACTTGGTTGTAATACAATGCTATGCTACTTATTTTGTTGCTTGAATTGTTCTGTTTTAGCCATTGGGAGCTCTTTCAAGTTGGCTCCTGTCTCCCTTTGATATATCGTCTCTAAGAGGTTTTTAGATGAACTGCTTGAATTTTGTTACACATACAGTCACATAAACAAGTAAAACTTGCCTTTTCTGGTTCTGATTTTAATGACTACTTCTGTCCTCGGCTGTCTAAAGTCTACATGTTCAATGCACTGTAGTTTCCTGTGTTGTAGAAGAGAATTTTGATGCTACTTGAATCCTCTTACCTTTGTAAGTAGTCAGTTCTCTTTGATTGGAAATTGTAAAATATGCCTTTTATCTTTGGAGTTCGGGAATTTCACTAGCATATCTAGGTATGTGTCTTCTTTCATTAATTTTGCCTACGATTTAGGAGTCTGAAATCTCACATTTTTTCAGGTCCAGAAGTTTCCCTTGAAACAGGGTCTCGCTCTGTTGCCCAGTCTGGAATACAGTGGTGTGTGATCATAGTTCCCTGCAGCCGCAAACTCCTGAGCTCAGGTGATCTCCTTGCCTTAGCCTTCTGAGTAGCTGGGACAACAGGCACACACCACCACATTTGGCTTTTTTGTGTGTGTGTGTGTGTGTGTGTGTGTGTGTGTGTAGAAACAGTCCCATTAGGTTGCCCAGGCTGGTCTCAAACTCCAGGGTTCAAGTGATCCTCCTGCCTTGGCCTCCCAAAGTGCGGGGACTGTAGGTGTGAGCCACTGTGCCTGAAGTTTTCTTGTATTTATTCTTCAAATATAACTTACATATGGTGTGTTTTTGTACCTTAAAACTTAGTTTTTCATATTGACTTTCTGAATCTATCTTTTACAGCCCTTATCTTTTTACTCATGCTTTCTATGATTTTATATTTATGCTCTCTTATGGTATATTTCTTCTGTTTTCCAGAACAATAAGGCAGTTTTCAGTTGTGACCGTTCCCCTATCTCTTGATTTTTTTTTTTTTTTTTTTTTTTTTTTTTTTTTTTTTTTTTTGAGAGGAGTCTTGCTCTGTCACCCAGGCTGGAGTGCAGTGGCACGATCTCGGCTCACTGCAAGCTCCGCCTCCTGGGTTCACGCCATTCTCCTGCCTCAGCCTCCCTGGTAGCTGGGACTACAGGCGCCCGCCACCACGCCCGGCTCATTTTTTGTATTTTTAGTAGAGACGGGGTTTCACCGTGTTAGCCAGGATGGTCTCGATCTCCTGAGCTCGTGATCTGCCCGCCTCGGCCTCCCAAAGTGCTGGGATTACAGGCATGAGCCACCACGCCCGGCCCTCTTGATTTTTTATATCCAAAAATATGTTGAAACTTCAGAGAAACGATTTTATGTACTCTATTTGTATCACATTAAAGGTTTTTTTTTTTTTTAACATTTTTGTTATATTTATTCTTTTAATTCTGATATCACAGGAACCACTTACCCTCACTGGCTTAGTGTCCCTTGTGTTCATATTTAAGCTATTGTCTCCAGACTGTCTTAGTTCATTTGTACTGCTATAAGAGAAATACCATAGGCTGGATGGCTTATAAATAATGAGTTTCTTACTGTTCTGGAGGCTGAAAAGTAAAAGACGAAGATGCCTACAGAATTGGTGTATAACAAGCACCCATCTCCTGATTCGTAGAGCACCATCTTCTTGCTGTGTCCTCAACATGGCGGAAAGGGTAAGGAAGCTCTCTAGGGTCTCTTTTATAAGAGAGTTGAAGTAAAAAAAAAAATCCACTAGATCCATTTATGAGGGCTCCACCCCAATAACCTACTCACCTGCCAAAGGCCCCACCTCTTAATACCATCATCTTGGGTGGTAGGATTTTAAAAACAAATTTTGTGAGTGGAGGGACATGAACATTCAGTCTATAGCAGGCTTCAGGCCCACCCTTCTATTTTCTGCTTATTGAAGCTGGACCTGAGCTTCTGCAAAGCTTTTTCTGCTTTTCCAGGAGGGTCTCTACTCAGTTTTACAAATGAAAGGACACAGAGGGAGACATAAGAGACACACATGTTCCTGTTTGCTTCCTGTTGTGTCAACTCGTCAGTGCTTCTGTTTTCTGGCAGCGACAGTTGACTTCGGATCTCCCTTTTATATTCATACTCCTGGAATCATTCTCAGGGACCCCACGGCACTAGCTAGCCAGCACCCTTCTCCTAGCATTTTGAGCTTCAGTTCCACACAACCCCTCTATAAGCTTTTATTATTTACCATATAACATTGCTGGTAGTTGAACATCTTGATCTAAAAACAGAGACATTTCATATGATTCAAACCAGGACCAGTTCCATAACGGTGTGAAATGAAAAATGAGGGTCCCTTGTTCAAAAATTGTTCATCAGACAGTGAAAGCAGAACATAAGCCAGACCCTTCTGTGCACAGGGTGCCATGTGACTGCATAGGTTGCGCAGCCGTGAAGCTGGCCCTGGCTCAAACTAATAGGTGTAGGTTCAAATAAGGCCAACCTCTTCCCTTAGTTCCCCTGGCTCTATGGAATGGTAGCTGCCTTTGGTAGTCACTGTTTCTGTTCTGTCTTTTTTTTTCTTTTTTTAACTGTTTCAGTTCTCCAATACCTGTTTAATCCATTTTTTATTGTTATTTTTATTACAATAACTAATGTGACTTCTTTTTTTCCTGAGTGATCCCTCCTAGATGCTTATGATATTTATTTGACTTCTCACGTCAGCCATTGTGCAACAGGGACCCTTTATGTTGAAATGGGGTGGTGTCGGTTTTCAGGAGTATCAGGAAAGTCCAGTTTTTCAGTAAGAGGGTGTCAAAACATTTAAGCCAGACACTTAAATATGGAGACATGTTCAAAACAGAACAAAACAAAACACAAAACAGGTTAAACGTATTTCTTTGCTCTTAACCTAAGTTCAGATTTTGGTATTCTGTTACCATGTCTTTCCTACAGAAATTGTTCTACCCAGATGAAGATCTGATGTTAAGTGGTACCGACATTAAATTCCAGCGTATGTAAAGGACTAGCAACACTGCACACTTTTTAAAGACCTTGCTGAAAATCCAGACTCCCCTAACCAAAAGTCTTTGTATACTAAACCAGCACAGTTATTCTAGAGGACAACAGTAGTACCTGCGGACTGTTAGATGCCTGTGGTCTGCAGAGCCAGAATACAATATTTGATTTGGCTCTTAAAGAGAGTGCTAATTTCCAGAGCATTAAATGGGGGCCTATGTTTGTTGCTAAACAATTAGACACACGTTGGCTTGCATTCTCATGCAAGCCCTGCATTAATCAAAGCCTGTTGTAATCTAACTGCTGATTGTTTTGAAAGATGAGGAGAGTGCATCTGTGTTCCAGTGAATCCCATGCATTCAAATTGCCCTTAAAACAATGAAAGTCAAGTCATGGCAGCTGAAATGAAGCAGCTTTGTACCTGGGAACACTAATATGCATAAGCATACCCCTCATATGGATGTGCTTGGTGGGGAAATGTTTTTGTCTTGTTAGGGAACATGCATTAATGCAAATTTGAGAATAAGAAGTTATAATCATTAAAGGCAATTCCATTTCTGAGCTACTTACAGAGACAGAAAATATTGCATAGCTTTTATAAAACTGCAAATTACATCTGATTTGAACTTCATTTAAAACTCCAGAGTGAGAGAACTGTGAGTTTCCCGTTAAATACAAAAGCTTAAATGAGAATTCAGCACTCAGGAGACAGCTGACTGACAATAACCAATCTCACTGACGCTTGAGTGGGTACACACCAGTACAGTTAATCAAAACTCCACTCAGCTGCCAGCTCTTTTGGCATTCTTCTGAGCCCAGCAGAGAGTATCCAGGACAGGAGATTCACCCATCAAAGCTTCAGCTCTGCTTTCCTTGACATTCCAAGCAGATTAGTAAATGACAGATTTCTGCAGCCTAGTAATGGGGCTAGCATGACTCAATGGCAGAGATGACAAGCAAATCTGTAGGATCAAGTGTTCACGGCCTCTTGTTCCATCAGAACTGGCAAAGCTGCCACCAAGGTTATTGGAGTCATATGTTTGGGGGAGAAACATTTTGTTTCAAACAATGTGACAGGAAAGGAGAATGAGTCTACTCCTCACTGACACGTATAGCAGAAAATCTATCAAGCCTTCACCACCCAGCACCATCTATCCCTCCCCTGACACGTCATACAAAGATTTGTGTGTGTGTGTGTGTGTGTGTGTGTGTGTGTGTATTTTGGGAAAACAGCAAAAATCATGGTCTGATTAAAGTTTACCCTAGGTAAAACTTTACTTACAAAAATGGTACACATAGACATTCCTGATAATCTTGTCTAATATTTGCAAATATTTCATCTTCCTCATAAAGTAAATGCATATTACCCTGTAAACATAGTCCCCACAACGCTTTTTCAATTGCTTAAACATAATCTAACCAAAATTTAAAGTTATGATTGAATATAGAAGGACTCAGATGAGGTGTACGTGGATTCACCAGTAGAGTTTTACTCAGAAACTTTTGCTTTGCTTTGTAACCCACTTATGAACAAGTCCTGAGTGTCTTGACTGATGATAAACTTACCAAGGCTTTGTTTGTTTCAGATTCTCTGTCCTGCCAATGCCTTCCTGGGCTTTAAAGAATTGCCTTCTTAGCCTCATTCCAAATTGATTTTCTGAGCACCTATTGTAGAAAAGGAGCCTGAAAACTACTGAAGAACACATCAGTGAAAGTGCTCATGCTCTTTCTACTTGGATAGCAGATATTAAATAGCAGCTTTAAAGTACTATTTCCACAGCAGGAAAACTATTTGAGAAAAGAGCCTAGGAGGCAAATACTAAGGTACCTGAGATTGCTTTTGCCAAAGATGGCTTTATACAAGGAAAGTCCTCTCGAAATGTCTCCACTTCTCTTATCTACTAGGAAATGTGAAAATGTGTGTAGCGTCTCCTCAGGATGTGAGCGTGTCATCATATGCCAATGTGAGCTTGTGCTAGTTAGTTCTTACTCAGTCCTTTAACATCCATCCACTCTTCTGCATCCCAGTTTGTGGAAACAATGATGCCTGATTTGAATAGCATTTTACAGGTTTCAGTGGTAGACCCACTCTCCAGGTAAGCAATCTGGATTCAAGTCCCGGCTCTGTCCCTTATCAGCTTGTCACTTTGTACAAGTTACCGATCCTCTATGTACCTCAGTTTTCTTATCTACAAAATGGGGATAATAATAGTACCTATATGATAGGATTGTTTAAGGATCCAATTATTTGTATATAAAGCACTTAGAACAGAGCCTGGCACAGAATAAGTTTTATATACATGTTCTATTGGTATTATTTTCTTAATAAACCTATGATGCGTGATCAATTACCCCCTTTAAAACCAGGAGACTGAGGTTTGAAGATGTTAAATAAATGATTCCAAGCCAATTTCTAGAAAGCATCAGGATGAGGACCAGAATCTAGGCCCTCTCCCAGTCAAATGCTCATTTTACTTTTCCACTAGCATAGGACTTTTATAAGCTTTTCAAAGGCAGAGCCTGTGTGGTCCCTGTCAATGCTTTCCTCCAAAAGCATTGAGGTGGAGCCTCAATGCTAAGAATCCAGTCCCTGTGGTTGGGAGCTTGCCTCAGGTATGGGGGAGGCATAATCTCTGAGGTAGGGGATCTGGTCATCAGAACCAGAAGAAAACAGGAGAGGATGTGGGGTGAGAAGCTAAATGCAGCAAGGGCCATGTTTTCAGCACATCATTCCATATCTCCTTCTCTCCTTCTCTGTCTATAACCAAGTCATTTTTGGTGCAAAAAACTGAGGTCCCTTTTATGGAAAAGTGTAGGTACTGCACTGGATACCTGAGCTACAAGGCACAAGCCCAAAATTTTAGAAAGAGGTTTAAGTGTCAAATCCGTGGGACTTCAGTTTCACATCAGCATCATCCTCAGATCACTCACAGTCACCCAAGAGTGGGTAAGAATCTTTCCTGTCCTAGGGCTCAGGAACCTTCTGGTGTCTCCCTCCTGCTCTAAGCCAGCTCTCCATCCCTCCACACTTCGTACTTTCATCTCCTATCATGGCTGTAGCAGTCTTGGATCATCACTTTTGTCTTCCCAGGAAATCGTGTCTGCAGGTTTGTGAGAACATAGCTATTCATTCTGGTTGCCAGCCCCCTTCTTCTCTGCTGAGCCCTCCTGGGCTCACCCAGGGCATCAGGATCAGGACCAGAAAGAGGTCCTGGATTATTATCAGGACCAGAAAGAGGTCCTAGATTATTCTTGGGAAGAATAATCTAGTTGTCTCTCTGCTCCTGGTGATTTTCTTTTGAGGGGAAGTTATTCTCAGCAAATCTGTCCTCTTTGACCCTGCAATTCTAGGAATAAAATATTCTTAATATTACATCAAAACTACAATACCCCTATAAATCTCTTTGAGCCTCACATCCTCTTTCTATTTAAAAGAGATTAGACTCAGGAAAATGGACTCTACGGTAACCACAGGAGGGATAACTGTAGGGTGCTTTTAGGATTTTTAAATTTTTATATTTTGTTTTGTTTTAGTTATTAAAGTCTTGTACTAAAGCAATTGTAAGACATTCTCTTGCCCCATGTTACACTATATTCAGAGGGGTGGGAGAGTGTGGTGATACAATAGAATGGCAGCAAAACTAAAGGTCTACCTATCTTAGGGGATAAAGTTTATAAGAAAAATAATCATCAGAGCCATTAAGCATTTTTACTTACTATAAAGCTTTTTAAAATGTAGAATGGGAAGATAACAGCACCTAACCTAGGATCATGAGTCAGCATATGGACAACACAGAACAAGGCCTGGTGTGGGGAACGATATTGTAAGTCTTGGTCATCTCACTTGTTTCCCTTACAGCATCATTCTATTCTGTTCTCACAACAACTCTGCAAGGCAGGGGTTATTTCCATTTTATAGAGGAGGAAAATAAGTGATTTATTCATGCTTGCAAAACTACAAAAGTATAGAATTGAAGTTCTAGGTCTTCCTTTTTTATAATTCTGCAATCTGAGTGGCACTGGCTGGTAAATTCCATAGGAAAAATAATTCCTTTTTCTCTGAAGGTTTGGTCTTGGAATTGGGACAGGAAATAAAATTGGTGAATGTTGCATTCCAAGATTAGGAGTAAGTGGCTCTGACATCATCTTTGAAAAATGCAGTAGATGTCAATGCAGAGTTTATAGGGATGATTTCGGAGTCACCATTTACAAGATTTCATTCGCTAGTTATTACAAACCAATTTCTGCATTCAGTGCACTTGTGTGCACACACAGAAACACACACATTTTAAACATGGATCGATGCAAGAAATTGCATGAACATTTTCTTCCCTAGCATGTAGGAAAACTTCCACCCTAATTTTGAATTGTCCCATGTAACAGTTCACCACACATCTTACTACTTCTAGATATTATTTTTTCATTTTTTTCCCCTCTTTTCCTCTTTTCTTCATTCAACAAACATTTGTTAAATACCTACTATTTCCCCAGCCATCGACACATTCAGACAAATTGGCAGGATCCTTGCCCTCAGGCAGCCCTGGTTCCACTCATTCCTCCAGAGCTTTATTCCCCTTCTCTATCCCCACATTTCTCACTTTGGTTCAGACCTCTTTTCTATTTTTCTAGATTCTTGCAATAACCTCCTAAATGGTCACTGGACTCAACTTTCCGATCATGGCTTTTATCATGTTCTTTTCCCACTTAGAAACTATTCATGACTTCCTACTGTCTAATGAGTTAAGTACAGACCTCTTTTTGTGGCATTCAAAGCCCTCCTCATTCTGGCTTCTGACTTTTCTTATGTATCAACTTCTATAACTGCCCTCTTTCATCCCTTTGCTGATTTCCAATAGAAATACTATCCCACCAAGCACATTTCCTTCCTCCCCTCTATGTGTGGTTGCATCTCAAGTATTACTTTTTTGTTTTTTTGTGGTTTTTTTGAGATAGAGTGAGACTCTGTCACCCAAGCTGGAGAGCAGTGGTGTGATCTTGGCTGACTGCAACCTCTGCATCCCGGGTTCAAGCCTTTCTCATGCCTCAGCCTTCCAAGTAGTTGGGATTACAGGCATGCACCACCATGCCTGGCTAGTTTTTGTATTTTACATAGAGACAGGTTATCACCATGTTGGCCAGGCTGGTCTCGAACTCTTAGCCTCAAGTGATCCACCTGCCTCAGCCTCCCACAGTGCACAAGCATGAGCCACTGTACCTGGCCAAATGTTACATTTTATCTCAGTCACATATCCATACCCACCTTTCTAGCCTTATTATATATGTATCAACCAACAGAACAAAAAGAGAGAGCCCAGAAATGAACCTACATATGTATGCATGGTCCACAGATTTTCAACAAGGGTGCCAAGAATACACACTGAGAAACTAATAGTCTCTCCAGTAAATAGTGCTTGGAAAACTGGATATTCATGTGCAGAATCAAACTGGATCCTTATCTCACTCCCTATACAAAAAATCAACTCAAAATTTATTAAAGAGTTAAACATATGACCTGAAACTGTCAAACTATATGAAAAAAAAATCAGAGGGAAAAATGCATACATTAGTTAACGAATTTTTAGATTTGACACCAAAAGCACAGGCAATAAAAGCAAAAATAGGCAAATGAGATTACATCAAAATAAAAAGCTTCTGCACAAAGGAAACAACCTAACAGATTGGGGGGAAATATTTTTAAGCCATAGCTCTGATAAGGAATTATTATCCAAAACATATAAGGAACTCAAGTTTTTTCTATAGAAAAATAATTTGATTAAAACATTGGCAAAGGACTGAATACACATTTCTCAAAAGAAGACATCTAAATGACCAAAAGATATATTTTAAAAATGCTCAACATCACTAGTCATTAGGGAAATGTGAATTAAAGCCATAAGATATCATCTCACACCTGTCAGATGGTTATTATCAAAAAGAGGAAGATAACAAGTGTTAGTGAGGATGTGAATAAAAGGGAGCCCTTGTACACTGCTGCTGGAAATGTCAATTAGTACAGCTATAATGGAAAACTGTATAGAGGTTCCTCAAAAAAAAAAAAAACCTAAAAAACAAAAGTGCCTTAGGATCCAGCAATCCCACCAAATTCTACTCAACAACTAAAAAGAAATTGTCATTTGTGAAAACATGGATGAAATTGGAGAACATGATGCTAAGTGAAATAAGCCACATGTAGAAAGATAAATGCATGTTCCCACTCATATGTGGAATCTAAATCAAACTCAAAGCAGCACAGAGTAGAATGGTGGTTACAGAGGCTGAGGGGTGGAGGTAATGGGGAAATGATGGTCAAAGGGTACAAAGCCTCAGACTGGAGGAGTAGGTTTTTCTTTGAGCTATATTTTACAGCATGGTAAAGATAGTAAATAATAATGTCCTGAACATTTCAAAATCACTAAAATTGTAAATTTCCAACGTTCTCATCACAAAAAAATGGTAAGTATTTGAGGTGATGGATATGTTCATTAGCTTGATTTAATTATGCTACGTTGTACTTATAAATCATAACACCATACATATATGCAACTATAATACATATATACAATTATCCTTTGTCAACTTACAATTAGAAAATAAAAATTTAAAAATAACGAATGGATAAACAAATTGTGGTATACCTACACAATGGAATTATACTCAGCAGTAAACAGGAATGAACTACTGATACATGCAGCAACCTGGATGATTCTTAAAATAATTATACTGATTGAAAAAAGCTGGACTAAAGAAGGATACATATTTAGCTAGTATGATTCTATTTATGTAACATTCTAGAAAATGCAAAGGAATCTACAGTTACATAAAGCAGACACACTGGTTGCCCTTCAGTGGAGGTGGATGTACCACATCTGTTCTTTACTTTGATTGTTGATGGTTCCATCAAGTATACCTACGTCAAAACTTATCAGGTTATAAACTTTAAACATGTGAAATTTATTGAAGCTCAATTGTTCCTAAATACAGCTTTAAATTTTTTTAAAAAAATCAGGAAAATTTATTATAATCATATATCTTAGATGTAACCATGATGCTTGGGTGAACATTTGGCTTATACATATTTTCTGAGCCTTTTAAAAACCAAATTTGCATTTACATAATATATTAGCATATTTTTCATTTGTCTCTAACACTATAAGACACTCCTAGTATTATTAGAAGTTCTTTATAAACATTTACATTGAAAGATTCATACTGTGATAAACTGTATCAGTCATGTGCCATCACTGATACCAGTCTTGACAATGTAGCTTGGTCTGGCTAATGAAATATGACTTCGCATATTTCAAAATTGCTAGAAGAGTAGCTTTTAAATGTTTTTACCACAAAAAGAAATAAGTATGTGAGGTGATAAACTTTTAATTAGCCTGAATTATTCCATATTGTGAACATATATCATATTATACCCCTCTAAGTATGTTATTTGTCAATTAAGAATAGAAAAGAAATATGACTGGAAGGGATATGTTATTTCCAACAGGATTTAAAAGCATGGTGTATACTTTGTCATCCTGATGTCTGTCTATAACATTCTT